>NC_000009.12:105947824-106099339 GCF_000001405.40 Homo sapiens | reverse complement strand
TTATTTTAGCTAGAAATTTTCCTCATCACTCTAGACAGAGAGAGCTTGTAACTAGAAAGCCTCTGTGGGTAGCACTTGATTGCTCCTTGAAGAATTTATACAAATTTGAAGGAAATTTCCTGGCTAATTTTTTTCATAGTTTGATAATTTAAATAAGAATGGATTAAAATTACAAATTCCCAGGCCATATTAGTGTGATTACTGAAATTTTGTCAGGAACATTTTGATTAACCTGAGATATGATCTGAATCTGTTTACAGTCTTTAGACATCCCAGTAGAACTAGGATGATCTTATTCATGAGGAAAACTTAAAGAAGTTTAAAAAAATTTTTGGAACAATAACTAGTGCCAAGATGATGCTGGTGGATCTGTCTCCTCTCTCAAAGAGGACTCCAAACCACGATTGAGATGACCTGGCATATTGTGGGCTCAAATATGTTGCCTTGGGCCAGAGGGAAGAAGAAAGAAAGGATTGCCTTACGAACCAGTGAATCCAGAGATGGCAGAAATGAGAGCACTTCCTGCCAAAGCACGTGCATAGTCTCAGGGAAGACTTCCATAATCAGCTAGTTCATGAGAGAACAAATCTCTGGTGCTAAAACCTAGGAGATTTCAAGACTTCTAGGAAATGTTAATGCCAAATGCTAGTCTCACCCATGCCCAACCTTTTGCTCCCTGGATCCAACTGGCAATGCTCCAGTTTCTCTGATGACCTCTTTGCAACCCACAGAATGTCAAGGTTCCCACCATGTGCAGAAGTTTACAGCTCATTCCCCCCATAATTTTTCTCTCATGTATTTAAAACTATTGCCTCATACAAGTATGGTTCCACAGTGGGTAGCCCATATCTCACTGTACATGATCTTTGGACATCTCCATCTGAAGTTCTTGTGCAGGGATAGGAGTTCCTGACAGTCTCAATGATGAAGGTAACATTCCCACAGGGGTTGTAGGAAATCAAAGTGTGTTTCTCCCACCTATCCAACTGTTACCCTCAAGCATGGCTTGGAAATTCACAAGAATGAAGGTGGAGATTGGCAACTCTGAACCTCCACCCCAACTGGAGTCTCCTAAAGACTTTTCCTCCAGTGTGGGTGGGGGCAGGAGTTGCAACTCTGTCTTCAAGAAACAAGTTCCCCAGAAAGTGGGTATTTTCACTATTACCTGTTAGAGTAGAAAAAGCAAATTCATGGATTCATTCATAGATTATTAGCTCATGGTTTGAAGTCTTCCTCAACATACTACAGACCTAACCACAAGACTCTTTAGTAAATATTTCTTTAGTAAGATCAGTCGATTATATTAAAAAAAACACCTGAATGTAACAATTATCAGGACCAATTTTCCAAATTATTTTGCTGTACACTATAGTAATCTTGTTTTCCCCCTTATATTTTATGGTTTTGGGCTTATTTAGCATTGTTTCTATTTCATGTATTTTAAGTACAAAAAGCTTTTTTTAAATTTAAGTTCAGGGTACATGTACAGGATGTACAGGTTAAATAGGTGTCATGGGGGATGGTTGTGTCATGGAGGTTGGTTGCACGGATTATTTCATCAGCCAGATATTAAGCCTAGTATCTGTTAGTTATTTTTACTGCTTCTCTTCCTCCTCCCACCCTCCACCCCCTAATAGGCCGCAGGGCATGTTGTTCCCCTCTGTGTGTCCATGTGTTCTCATCATTTAGCTCCCACTTATAAGTGAGAACATGTGGTATTTGGTTTTCTGTTCTTTTGTTAGTTTGTTAAGGATAATGGTCTCCAGCTCCATCCATGTCCTGCAAAGGACATAATCTCATTCTTTTTTATGGATGCATAGTATTCCATGGTGTATATGTACCACATTTTCTTTTTCCAGCCTATCATTGATGGGCATTTGGGTTGATTCCATGTCTTTGCTATTGTGAATAGTGCTGCAATGAACATACATGTGCATATTCTTTATAATAGAACAATTTATATTCCTTTGGGTAAATACCCAGTAATGGGATTGCTGGGTTGAATGGTATTTGTCTTTAGGTCTTTGAGTAATCGCCACACTGTCTTCCACAATGGTTGAACTAATTTATACTCCCACTAACAGTGTAAAAGCATTCCTTTCCCTCCACAACCTTGCCAGTATCTGTTATTTTTTGACTTTTTAATAATAGCCATTCTGACTGGTGTGAGATAGTATCTCATTGTGGTTTTGATTTGCATTTCTCTAATGATCAGTGATATTGAGCTTTTTTCCATATGATTTTTGGCTGCATATATTTCTTCTTTTGAAAACTGTCTGTCATATCCTTTGTCCACTTTTTAATAAGATTGTTTTTCTCTTTAAATTCCTTATAGGTGCTAGATATTAGACCTTCACCAGATGCATAGTTGCAAAAATCCTCTCCCATTCTGTAGATTGTCTATTCACCCTGTTGATATTTTCTTTAGCTGTGCAGAAGCTCTTTAGTTTAATGAGATCCCATTTGTCAATTTTTTTATTGCAATTGCTTCCAGTGTCTTCATCATGAAATCTTTGCCCATGTCTGTCTGCAGAATGGTATTGCCTAGGTTGCCTTCGAAGGTTTATAGTTTTGGGTTTTACATTTAAGTCTTTAATCCATCCTGAGTTAATTCTTGTATATGGTGTAAGGAAGAGGCCCAGTTTCAGTTTTCTGCAGAAGGCTAGCCAGTTATCCCAGCACCATTTGTTGAATAGGGAGTCCTTTCCCCATTGCTTGTTTTGTCAGGTTTGTTGAAGATCAGATGGTTGTTGGAATGTGGTCTTATCTCTGGGTTCTCTATTCTATTCCATTGACCTATGAGTGGTTTTTTGTGTGTGTGTGTGTTTTTTGTTTTTTTTTGTTTTTTGTTTTTTACCAGTCCCAAGCTGTTTTGGTTACTATAGCACTGTAGTACAGTTTGAAGTCGGGTAGCATGATGCCTCCAGCTTTGTTCTTTTTGCTTAGGAATGCCTTGGCTATTAGTATACAAAATCAATGTGCCAAAATCACTAGCATTCTTATACACCAACAACAGTCAAACCAAGAGCCAAATCACGAACTAACTCCCATTCACAACTGCCACAAAAAGAATAAAATACCTAGGAATATACCCAACAAAGGAAGTGAAAGATCTCTACAAGGAGAACTAGAAACCACTACTCAAAGAAATTAGAGATAACATAAACAAATGGAAAAACATGCCATGCTCATGGATAGGAAAAATCAATATCTTTAAAATGGCCATACTTCCCTAAGCAATTTATAGATTCAATACTATTCCCATTAAATTGCCCTGACATTCTTTGCAGAACTAGAAAAACCTATTTCAAAAATATTTCTTAATTAAAAAATTAAGGCTTTTCAAAAATCCCATATATATGAAAACTAGACAATATGGTACTAAATAGCCCTTGAGTTTAAAAGACATTAGAGGAGACACTAGAAAACACTTAGAACTTAATGACAATGAAATACAACATGCTGATATTTATGATACAGAGCTAAAGTAGTATTTAGAAGTTTATAGGTTGAGATACATTTTATCAGTCAAAAAAGAATGATCTAAAAAATAAACAAGCTAAGCTTTTAACTTAGGAAGCTGCAAAAAAAAACATGGGTTCTAAGAAACACAAAAGTAAATGGCAAAAGTGTATAAATCAACACAAAGTATAACAAAAGAAGAGTGAAAATCACTTAAAAACAAATCTGGTTCTTTTTAATAAGATAGAACTTCAGCAAGACTAATCAAGGTAAAAAGAGGAAAATGTAGATATTCAAATGTAGAATTAAGAATAAGTAGCTACAAATTTAAAACTTTAAAAACTAAAATACTATGAACAACTATCTCTTAAGTAATTTGAAATCTAGACAAAATAAATACATTTCTGAAAAAAGTTATAAAGTGTCAAAATTGGTGAAAGGAGGAATAGAAAACATGACTAGACCAATATGCACACATACATTAAAATTAAAAAGAAGTTAAAAAGACTTCACTGCAAAAAACTCCAGGTTCATAAAGCTCTACTGGTAATTCCTACCAAATTTTCAAGGAATGGATCATTCTTTTCTTATATAAATTGTACCAAAAATATAGTGAGAAAAGTGTCTAGATTATTTTATAATGCTGGTATAATGTTGATCCCCAAACAAAATTAACTTGGTGCCATAATTATAGTTAGCATTTAATTAGAGCTTACCATATGTTGGGTAGTTCTATGAATGCTTTCTATATTTTAACTCATTTATTCATCATGGAAAGCTATAGATTAGGTATCATTAGTATTAATTACATTTTGTAGATAAGAAAAATAAGGCTAGGAAGGTTTACTGCTTCCCTGGATCACACAGCAAGTAAGTGGCCAAACTGAAATTCAAATCCAGAGTCTGGCTTGAAAAATCTATACTCTTAAGCATTATGCCGTATTACTTCTCATAAAGAAATTAGAGGCCCAATTTACTTTTTAGAAACAAAAGTATTAGCTAACCATAACTAACAGTATATATATTTAAAAAATCATGGTCAGATAAGGTTTATCCCAAGAATGCAAAGATGGTTCAATACCAAAAAATATTTCAAGTAAATACAACACATTAATGGGCTAAGTGGGAAAAACCCTAGATACAAACAAACAAACAAACAAAATATATATATATGTAAAACATATATATATATATATATTTTTATTACCTATTTATGACAAAAACTCTTAGCAAACTAGGGATAGAAGGGAACCTTACTAACATGGGAAATATTTCTGAGAATTCACTATATATTTCTTTTTTTTTTTTTTTTGAGACAGAGTCTTACTCTATTGCCCAGGCTGGAGTGCAGTGGCACGATCTTGGCTCACTGCAAGCTCTGCCTCCTGGGTTCACACCATTCTCCTGCCTCAGCCTCCCAAGTAGCTGGGACTACAGGCACCTGCCACCACGCCCAGCTAATTTTTTGTATTTTTAGTAGAGATGGGGTTTCACCATGGTCTCGATCTCCTGACCTCGTGATCTGCCTCCCTTGGCCTCCCAAAATGCTGGGATTACAAGTGTGAGCCACCGCGTCTGGCCTATATTTCTTATTAAAGAAAATTTAAGAACACAAACAAGACAAAAATGGCTGTTTTTTGATCATAGTACTATAGATCATGGCCAGTGAAATAAGGAAAGAAATAATAAGGCATGCAGAGTGGAAGAAAAGATATAAAAAAGTATCGGGGGAAATTCAGCCCCCGATATTTCACGTGGGTCCTTTTCTATTTTCCCTAAGTGTTGGCCGGTCTGAGAAATAAAGGGACAGAGTACAAAAGAGAGAAATTTTAAAACTGGGTGTTCGGGGAGACATCACATGTCGGCAGGTTCCGTGATGCCCCCTGAGCCGTAAAACCAGCAAGTTTTTATTAGCAATTTTCAAAGGGGAGGGAGTGCATGAATAGGGTGTGGATCACAGAGATCACATGCTTCACGGGCGACAAAAGATCACGAGGCAGAATGTCAGGGTGAAACTAGAATCACTAATGAACTTTCATGTCCCACTGTCCCATTGTCAGGGTTCAAGAGCAGAGAACCAGTCTGACTAGAATTTGCCAGGCTGGAATTTCCTAATCCTAGCAAGCCTGGGGGCACTGCATGAAACTAGGCCTTGTTTCTTCCCTGTCTACATCTGCATAAAGGCAGACACTCTCAGGGTGGCCATTTTAGAGGCCTCCCTGGGAATGCATTCTTTTCCCAGGGCTGTTAGTTATTAATATTCCTTACTGGGGAAAGAATTGAGCGATATTTCTCTTACCCGTTTTTGGTAATAAGAGAAATATGGCTCTGTCCAGCCCGGCCCACAGGCAGCCAGACTTTAAGGTTATCGCCCTTTTTCCCTGAAAATCGCTGTTATCCTGTTCTTAAGGTGCCCAGATTTCATATTGTTCAAATACACATGCTCTACAAACAATTTGTGCAGTTAACACAATCGTCACAGGGTCCCGAGGTGACATTCATCCTCAGCTTATGAAGATGTTGGGATTAAGAGATTAAAGTAAAGACAGGCATAGGAAATCACAAGAGTATTGATTGGGGAAGGGATAAATGTCCATGAAATCTTCACAATTTATGTTCAGAGACTGCAGTAAAGACAGGTGTAAGAAATTATAAAAGTACTAATTTGGGGAACTAATAAATGTCCGTGAAATCTTCACAATTTATGTTCTAATGCTGCGGCTTCAGCCAGTCCCTCCATTTGGGGTCCCTGACTTCCTGCAACAAAAAAGTCAATAATTGGAAGTGGTGTGATCATCTCCATAGAATAAAAAACAATGGAATCATCATGCTATTAGAATAATTATGAGTTCACCAATGTTATTAAATAAAGGTGAACATATAAAAAGTAAATAGAATTTTCTTCCCCAGGAACTGCCAAATAGAAACTGTAATCACATATAAGATACCATCTAAAAAACAAGAAAAACTACACTTAATAAAGAATTAAAGCATTCAAAAGCCTCCATGGAATTATTTTTGTGTTTTCAGATCTGGATAAATGGAGAGAAAACCATATACCATAAAAATATCAATTTCTCCTAATATTAAGTTACTTAAATTCCAAACTATATTTTAGGTAGGCCTTTAAGGAACTCGATTTATTCTAAAATTCATGGAGAAGAGCAAAATGTCTATGATTAAGTCAGCTTTGAAAAAGTTAAACAGTAAAGACTTGCTTTTCAGATATTAAGATCTGCTACAAAACCATGGTAATAAAATCAGTATATAACAAGAATTAAACCAATGGAGGAGATTAGAGTGTTCTGAAACAGACCCATGAATTTATGGTAACCTCATATGTAATAAAGGTGACACTACAAATCAGTATAGAAAAGCCTGATTCTTTATAAATGGTATTTGCTATGGTTTGGATGTATCAGTCCCTTTAACATTCACATATTGAAACTTAAACCCAAGGGGATGGTAATAAAAGGTGAGGCCTTTTGCAAAATGATTATAGTCATGAGGACTCTGCCTTCATTAGTGGATTAATACTCCCCTAATCCAGTGAGGTGGGAGGGAGGGCCCATGTGCCCTGTGCCTTGCCCTTTCGCCAAGTGAAGGCACAGCGTTTGCCCCCTCTGGAGGACACAATGTTCAAGGTGCCGTCTTGGAAAGAGAAATCGGGCTCTTACCAGGCATCAAAGCTGCCCACTCCTTGGTCCTGAACATCCCAGCCTCCATAACTGTGAGCAGTAAATTTAGGCTGTTTATAAATTACCCAGTCTGTGGTATGTTGTTAGAGCAGCAGTAATGGACTGTTACAAATAACTAGCTTAATATATGAAGAAAAATTAAAAACTAGATCCCTACTTTACACCATATACAATAGTGGTTGCAGATGAATTAAAAATGTAGGTGGGGAAGATATAACTTAAGATAATGGAGGAGAATAGTTTTACACCCAGGGGTGAGCAAGGACTTCTAAAACAAAACTCTGAAAGCTTAATACAAAAGGGGGGAATAATTTTATACATAAAAATATGGATATCCACAATAGATGACAGATGGGATTAAATATTTTCATTGTCTAAAAACAAGAAACTAATATCTAGAATTCACAGGATATTCAAGGGATTATTACAACTTACAATGAACGATTAGGTAATCTAGCTAGAAAACCATGCAGAGATATGAACTGGCAATACACAGGAAAGGAAGTCCAACAGGTAAACAAGCATATAAAAATATGCTCAAAATAATTTTATTTATAGAAATACAAATTAAAACAAGGAGGTATTGCTGTGTACTCATCACTAGTACGATGTGTTGAAATGAATGTGGCAATACAGGACACATCCCACAATGGTGTTGGGAATGAACACAAGTACCGTCACTCTGGTGTGCAATCTGGTAGTACTTTGATTAAATGTACATACATCCTTTGGCCCAGACTTTCAACTTCTGGGTTTATAGCTCATAAAAACAATCACACAGGTAGATAAGGGAACATGTTGAAAGATAATTCATTGAGTTGTTTATAATAGCGATGAGTTAGAAGCAACCTAGCTCTCTCTCCTTCACTGCCAGAATGGATGAATAAAATGTATTAGATGCATATTATGGAATTCTAAGCATTATTTAGATGCAACAAACTATATATACACAAAGAAACATGGATAAATCTAAAAACAGCATGTGAAAAGAAAGGACCTCGCAAGGACCATTGTGGATGATGTTCCATGAATTGAGAAATATGATCAATTAACACTTTGCACTTAAATAATAAAGTATATATTTAAAACATGATTTTAAATTTGTATATGTTTTATACTTATATATATTTTAAGCCATATTTACTGTATATGTATATATACTTAGATATCCATATATAAGTATAAAACATACATAAATATAAAACATATTTATATTTATACTTATATATAAAACATATGTTTTGATATGTACACAATTAAATGCTATGCAGCCAAATACAAAGTAGACTGTTCTTACTGCTGCTGAATGATCTCCAAAATACACAAAGTAAAATATGTGGAATGTAGAATGAGGTATTTAATGTGCTACTTGTGTGTTATGTATATGGATATGTATATATGTATATGCTTATAAATATATATATATATAATTACAGAGAAAGAAAAGGAAAATAAGCTGGTACCTGTGGTTGCCTCTGGGATAGAAAACTGGGTAAAGGACAGAAGTAGGAAAGAGACTTACCATTTATTCTATGTCCTTTTGTAATTTTTGAATTTTGTTCTGTTTGCATATATTGCTTAATCAAATTAATAATCAAAATTATTATGAACATATATGCATGTACAGAAGCAAAATATTACAATCATTTGCCTGCATGTCTTTCCATCCAGACTGAGTAAAGGGGTCAGCTATATTCATTTTTGTATTTCCTGAAACAGTTCCTGCCACATAATAGGTACTCAGTAAATGCTGACCGTAGGATGGATGAGATATGGATGGTTATTAGTTTTCTCTTCACACTTTTCTATAATTTTCATGTTTTTAAAATTAATTTTTTTAATTAAGAAAAATGACACTCTGGAGAATGTACCTGAACGTGGAGGCAGGCTGATAGCTAGGAGGCTATTTTAATAGTTCACATAGTCTGTTTTAACAGAGACTAGGATTGCAACCCCTGCTTTTTTTTTGCTTTCCATTTGCTTGGTGGATATTCCTCCATCCCTTTATTTTAAGCCTATGTGTGTCTTTGCACATGAGATGGATCTGCTGAACACAGCACACCAGGATAGGTCTTGACTCTTTATCCTATTTGCCAGTCTGCGTCTCTTATTTGGGGCAAAGAAGGGCATTACTTAATGGCAAAGGGATCAATGCAACAAGAAGAGTTAACTATCCTAAATATATATGCACCCAACACAGGAGCATCCAGATATATACAGCAAGTTCTTAGAGACCTACAAAGAGACTTAGACTCCCACACAATAATAGTGGGAGACTTTTAACACTCCACTGTCAATATTAGATCAAAGAGACAGAAAATTAACAAGCATATACAGGACTTAAACTCAGCTCTGGACCAAGCAGACCTAATAGACCTCTACAGAATGCTCCATCCCAAATCGACAGAATATACATTCTTCTCAGCACCACGTCGCACTTATTCTAAAATTGACCACATAATTGGAAGTAAAACATTCCTCATCAAACACAAAAGAATGGAAAACATAACAAACAGTCTCTCAGACCACAGCGCAATCAAATTAGAACTCGGGATTAAGAAACTCACTCAAAATCGCACAACTACATGGAAACTGAACAACCTGCTCCTGAATGACTCCTGGATAAATAATAAAATTAAGGCAGAAATAAATAAGTTATTTGAAACCAATGAGAACAAAGACACAACATACCAGAATCTCTGGGACACAGCTAAAGCAGTGGTTAGAGGGAAATTTATAGCACTAAATGCCTACAGGAAAAAGCAGGAAAGATCTAAAATCGATACCCTAACATCACAATTAAAAGGACTAGAGAAGCAAGAGCAAACAAATTCAAAAGCTAGCAGAAGACAATAAATAAGAACAGAGCAGAACTGAAGGAGATGGAGACATGAAAAACCCTTCAAAAAAAAATCAATGAATCCAGGAGGTGGTTTTTTTGAAAAGATCAACAAACTAGATAGACCCCCTAGACAGATTAATAAAGAAGAAAAGAGAAAAGAATCAAATAGACACAAAAAATGATAAAGGGGATATCACCACTGATCCCACAGAAATACAAACTACCATCACAGAATACTATAAACACCTCTACACAAATAAACTAGAGAATCTAGAAGAAATGGATAAATTCCTAGACACATACACCCTCCCAAGACTACACCAGGAAAAAGTGGAATCCCTGAATGGACCAATAACAAGTTCTTAAATTGAAGCAGTAATTAATAGCCTATCAACCAAAAAAAGCCCAGGACCAGATGGAGTCACAGCCGAATTCTACCAGTGGTACAAAGAGGAGCTGTTACCATTCCTTCTGGAACTATTCTGAACAATAGAAAAAGAGGGACTCCAACTCATTTTATCAGGCCAGCCAGAGACACAACAAAAAAAGAAAACTTCAGGCCAATATCCCTGATGAAGATCAATACGAAAATCCTCAGTAAAATAATGGCAAACCGAATCCAGTAGCACATCAAAAAGCTTATCCACCACAATCAAGTCGGCTTCATCCCTGGGATGCAAGGCTGGTTCAACATACGCAAATCAATAAGCATAATCTGACACATAAATAGAACCAATGACAAAAACCACATGATTATCTCAATAGATGCAGAAAAGGCCTTCGACAAAATTCAACAGCCTTTCATGCTAAAAGCTCTCAAACTAGGCATTGATGGAACATCCCAAAATAATAAGAGCTATTTATGACAAACCCAGAGCCAATATCATACTGAATGGGCAAAAGCCAGAAGCACTCCCTTTGAAAACCGGCACAAAACAAGGATGCCCTCTCTCACCACTCCTATTCAACATAGTATTGGAAGTTCTGGCCAGGGCAATAAGGCAAGAGAAAGAAATAAAGCGTATTCGAATAGGAAGAGAGAAAGTAAAATTGTCTCTTTGCAGATGACATAATTGTGTACTTAGAAAGCCCCATTGTCTCAGCCCAAAATCTCCTTAAGCTGATAAGCAATTTCAGCAAAGTCTTAGGGTACAAAGACTTTGGTACAAAGTCTTAGGGTACAAAGTCAATGTGCAAAAATCATAAGCATTCCTATCATCAATAATAGACAAACAGAGCCAAATTGTGAGTGAACTCCAAATCACAATTGCTACAAAGAGAATAAAATACCTAGGAATACCACTTATAAGGGATGTGAAGGACCTCTTCAAGGAGAACTACAACCCACTGCTCAAGGAAATAAGAGGACACAAACAAATGGAAAAACATTTCATGCTCATAGATAAGAAGAATCATTATTGTGAAAATGGCCATACTGTCCAAAGTAATTTATAGATTCAATGCTATCCCCATCAAGCTACCATTGGCTTTCTTCACAGAGTTAGAAAAACCTACTTTAAATTTCCTATGGAGGCAAAAGAGAGCCCGTATAGCCAAGACAATCCTAAGCAAAAAGAACAAAGCTGGAGGCATCATGCTACCTCACTTCAAACTATACTACAAGGTATATAGTTTATATATAACCAAAACAGCATTGTACTGCTACCAAAACATATCTATAGACCAATGGAATGGAACAGAGGCCTCAGAAATAAATGCCACACATCTACAACCATCTGATCTTTGACAAACCTGATGAAAACAAGCAATGGGGAAAGGATTCCCTATTTAATAAATGGTGTTGGGAAAACTGGCTAGCCATATGCAGAAAACTGAGACTGGACCCTTTCCTTACACCTTATACAAAAATTAACTCAAGATGGATTAAAGACTTAAACATAAGACCTAAAACCATAAAAACCCCAGAAGAAAACCTAGGCAATACCATTCAGGACATAGGCATGGGCAAAGACTTCCTGACTACAACACAAAAAGCAATAGCAAAAAAAAAAAAAAAAAAAAAAAAAAAAGTCAAAATAGACTAATGGGATCAAATTAAACTAAAGAGCTTCTACACAGCAAAAGAAACTATCATCAGAGTGAACAGGCAACCTACAGAATGGGAGAAAACTTTTGCAATCAATCCATCTGACAAAGGGCTAATATCCAGAATCTACAAAGAACTTAAATTTACCAGAAAAAAAACAACCCCATCAAGAAGTGGGTGAAGGATATGAACAGACACTTCTCAAAAGACATTTATGTGGCCAACAAACATGAAAAAAAGCTCATCATCACTGGTCGTTAGAGAAATGCAAATCAAAACCACAATGAGATACCTCCTCATGCCAGTTAGAATGGCAATCATTAAAAGTCAGGAAACAACAGATGCTAGAGAGGATGTGGAGAAACAGCAATGCTTTTACACTGTTGGTAGGAGTGCAAATTAATTCAGCCATTGTGGAAGACAGTGTGGTGATTCCTCAAGGATCTATAACCAGAAATACCATTTGAGCCAGCAATCCCGTTACTGAGTATATACCCAAAGGATTATAAATCATTCTACTATGAAGACGCATGCACACGTATATTTATTGCAGCACTGTTCACAATAGCAAAGACTTGGAACCAACCCAAATACCCATCAATGATAGACTGAATAAAGAAAATGTGGCACATATACACCATGGAATACCATGCAGCCATAAAAAATGATGAGTTAATGTCCTTTGCAGGGACATGGATGAAGCTGGAAGCCATCATTCTCAGCAAACTATCACAGGAACAGAAAACCAAACACTGCGTGTTCTCACTCATAAGGGGGAGTTGAACAATGAGAACACATGGACACAGGGAGGGGAACATCACACACTGAGGCCTGTCTGGGGGTTGGGGGCTAGGGGAAGGATAGCATTAGGAGAAATACCTTATGTAGATGATGGGTTGATGGGTGCAGCAAACCACTATGGCACGTGTATACCTATGTAACAAACCTGCACGTTCTGCACATGTGTCCCAGAACTTTAAAATAGTTCACAAAGGAGATTATGAGTAGCTTAACTTGGGTATTGCCAAGAAGCCAAAGGCTCTTTCCAGATGTTTTCTGTAGCACATGCTTAATACCACCACATCCACCATTTTGAATTACATACCCCCAATCAGAGTGGATATAGAGTGGTGGGCAGTTGCCATCAGAACAGTACTCTAAGTTGAGGCTTTCATGGCAGCTGCTTCCTCTTTTTTAGCCAAAGCTTGACTTTGTTCTGATTACCTTCTAGAAGAAAATGTAAACTGAATATAGCTCAAGATCAGCAGGTGTACAAAACTCACACAGTCTAACATCGGACTCTCACATCTGCCTCTCTAGCAGTGCCCAGCCTTTAAGCATCCATTTGACCTCCCTCTCCTCCAATTCTTTTTCTTTCCATTTCTTAACCCTCCGTTCCATCTTCACTTTCTAGCTGCTCTCCAAGTCCTCACCTTTTTGAGTACCTTTTATGTGTTAAATATTGGACTCTGTTGCTGGGCTCCAGTGAATGTTGCTTAAAACACAAAAGGTTAAGCAGAGAGCAACTTTATTGATTAAACATCCATTTTCTTTCCTTTTGTTTTTGTAAGAGCCCTTGATGTTGTCTCTGATTGACAGCCCCACCTGCACACCTCTGGCCCTGGATTCCCCTTGGTAATGTCTCAGAGCTACAGAGCACCTCATCCACTCTACACAAGCCACAGATCTTCATGTACAGCTTTCAAAGGAAGTGGAAAAAAAAAGAAATGTAACTTTTCTCTTCATTTCTTTTGCCATTCCTTAGACAGTATTTCCAGAAATCCCTGTTGAATGAAGCAAAGTAAAATGGGGAAAAGAATAGAAAGCTTTCAGCAATGACCCCTTTCTTTCATTCGAATTTCTTCAGCTAGCAAGCCTCTGAATATGCTTTTAAGAAGGTGACAACTTTATTAAATTAGCTTTCACTTCTCACCTCTCACAGTGTAAATGACCCAAAGATTCCTTACTGCAAGACTAACAAAATTACACCCATTAACGAGCTCGGCATGAGAAGCATGGTATGATGGTGGCTTTGCCCTGTTTCAACTCATGATAATGACTACATCAGCTGGTTTTGACTCTTCCTTGCTCTTCCCTAAAAGTGTAATATTGCAGATAATAGGGTGCCACATTGCCATTAGAGAAGAGGATAAGCCTCCCAAGTATAGAAGCCAAATGTCCAGTTACTCACATGTAGCCAACAATAAATGAGGTCAACTCAAAAAAAAAATCACCTTCTTCCTCCAAAAGCTCTATTTACACCATCAAATAAAGCCTATTCATAAGAATTGGGTGGTCAGGGATGATCACTAGGGCTGGCAAGACTGACCAGGGGGTCAAAAAGTGACGAACACTGTTTTAGCAACTTCAACTTCTGTGTGGCTCCTTTCCAGGGTTTTACCCCCACCCTGACCTCTGCTAGTTCAGTTTGAACTTTTGCAGGGAGAAAGTCCAGCTTGGATCAAATTCTGCATTAGTGTCACTAGGATTTCAACTAGATGAAAGCTGTGGGATAAAGAAATGAGGTACAAAGCTAGAATTCCTCTTTCCTCAACACTTTTTAAAACTCAGCCCTCCAGCAAAAACTAACTCAAAAGCCAAGTATGTACTAGCCCCAGCTTTTATTGGCTTGCAAGAGCTATTACATTTTCAGGAATTTTGCAAGCCAGTTGTTGATTACAGATATTTAAAAAAATTAAGTTTTATAAACTTCTTATTAAATAAGTTATCTTAAAAACTTATCACTTCATATTTTGTTACATTTTACTGCTCTCTATGCTCTTGTGGTTATTGATGTCTATAGATTCTGTATGATGGAAATAAATGAGTGTGCTATTATACATCTCTTCTAATTCCATATTTAATGATATCATGCCAGTAGCTTGAAATCAGCCAATTTGAGTATTTACACCACAGAAATTGGTAAATGTTATAAATTGGGACATGATTTATTGTTCTATTGATTGTCAAGACCAGGGCTCAACCATATATGACTTGATGGACGAATCCAGCCCTTAGCTTATTTTTGCAGGGATCACAAGCTAAAAGTGGTTTTGACATTTAAGGATTGCACAAGAAGAAGTTGAAGAATGAAGAGGACAGATGGGGAATAGGAAGAGAAGAGTATAGGGAAGGATAGACAGATTCCTTTTTCTGTAAAGGGCCAGATGGTAAATACTTTAGGCTTTGTGGGCTATATGATCTGTGTCACAACTACTTAACTCTGTCATTGTAGTGCAAAAGCAGTCACTGAGTGTGACTATTTTTCAATGAAATTTTATTACAAAGGTAGGTGGTGGGTCAGATTTGACTCACAGGACGTACTTTGCCAACCCCTGATCTATACTTAAGAAAGCACTCTGAAAGAATCAATTGGCTCTACGGAAGAAAGCCAAAGTATATTATATATTTTATAATTTGTAGATTTGTGCTATACATCCTTTAAATCAGTAAAGTTTATAATAAAGACAACACACGCATACATTTTTATTAATGAGCTGTTTAAATAGTTACCATACCACTTCCTTTACTAAGTCTGTAATTCACACATCTCTTTTCTCAAAAAAACCTTTGCAGAGAGCTTACTACATATGCCAGACACAAGAAATGAGAACTAGAAAGATGAGGTCCATGTACTCTAAGAGCTCACAATCCAGTGTGAAAAACCAATGAGCACCAGATAAATGAATGACGCAGGATAAAGAACAAATGCAGAAACACAAATGAGCCAAGTTTCCTGGGGCAGAGAGAACACAGAAACGAGTGTTCACGGTTCCAGGTGATTCCATAGAGAGAAACTGACCTAATCCACATGGCAGCCCCATGGAGTAAGTGTTATTGTCTCCATATTATATATGGGTAAACTGAGACACAGATTTAGTTAACATGCCTAAGGTCATAAAGCTGATAAAGGCAGAAATAAGATGCAAAGTCAGTACTATTTTGACATCAAAGTCCTGTCCCTTTACCCCACTTCTAGTAAATCCTTTGTTTATAAAAATAAGGTAACCATATTCATATCTTATCATATCTTGATATGAATGTCTCTCCCATGCTCTTTTAGGTTTCCTCCCTCTTTAGTATCTCTGCCATATAAGTTTAGCATTTCCCCAAAAGTCAAAGTAAAAAGGACATATGTTGATGTAGCTCTGAAGTGGTAACAGTATTCAGTTGAACTGTGACCAAATTAAAAGCTCTGGCATTAATGCACACTCACATGTGCAGGTGTTTTCTCTTTGCGGAGACAGTAAGTTCTCTGAGAGTAGGAATCAACCATTCTTTCTGCAGTGTGTAGCAGAGGGCTAGTCATGCAGGAGACATTGCATCAAAGTACTTGAGTAGTTGAGGAGCAAGAGGAGGAGGAAATGTAGAGTCCTAGTCCAAGCACATTCATATGCATGTCAGTCACAGATCTTCCAGTCGGGCAGTCTTGATCTCTAGAGAAACAGAAGCCCAAAAAGCTCAAGTACTTGAATCCCAATCCTCACTCCAGCTGGAGCCTGTTTGCTGCAAAGTTGACACATTTATCCGTTCACAAAGATCTAAAAGAAATCAACATTTTCTTAGACGACTAGAGAAGAAAATTTCACAATCTCTCTTGGAAATTTCTTCTAGAGTAGAGGTTCTTAAATTTGATGGGAATCAGAATCACCTGAGAGCTTGTTAAACTTATCTTCTCCCGGTCCACTCCCAGATGGTCTGATTTAGTAGGTCTCCAACCAGAACTTCACTCTCCTGGTTAGGAAATCTTCTAGAGTTTCTCAATTCCTATAGTGAATAATTTCTTCCATCGTGCCTAGCAAATCGATATGCTGCGGACCCACAAACTCTCTCATCTGCAGTTCTGAAATTCAAAAGCTCTGAAATGTAAACATCTTTACATAACTCATCTGGCAACAAAACCCGGACTTAACTCATCTGGAGGCAAAACCTCGCCTAAGCTCACTGAAAACTTTTTAAAGGCTTTATCTAACTTTGCATGGATTTGTACATTCTGCTGTGGAAATATTAACATGATAGTTACAAGGTAGGTACCACTTCAGACCTCCTGGGGGTGTCCCAAAATATCAAATATATGCTCCATTTTACTTTTCCAAAATCATAAACATTTGACTTATGAAATATATTTGGCTTTAAGGGTTTTGGATACAGAACTGTGAATCTAAATAAACCCCCTTGTGATTTTCAGTACTCGTCAACCATGGGAGGTTTAAAGTGGTTTAGGAGGCAAAATTCACAAACATCATTTGAGCTGCCTCAGTGTTCCCAGGGTGCTTGATCTTCAAAAGGCAAGCGTGAGAAATATACAAATTGCAATGAGCACAAGAACTCCTGGTCACCTAAGGTTGGAAGCCTTGTCATCTCTAGGACTACACCCCCAACACCCTAGTATTCTATTTCAGGTACGATCAGTTCTTCAACCTTTTTGATACTCAGTACTTTTATCTCATGAAAATAGTCCAGACCACCTCATAAATCCATAGGTATTTTTAAGATTTTCATGAGTGTAAGCCCATATTATCCAGGCCCAGGAAGATCTAGTGAAGATTGCCAGGAAAGTGGATAGATAATAAAGTTGGGTTCCAGGGACTGAAGTATACAAGCCAGTGAGATTCTCAGAAAAAAATAAAATGTAAAGGGCGTGAGAGTCAAACCAAGAGAAAATGCCTAGATACCAGGTGTTGAGTAAAAGCAAACTAACATAACCTTCAAAGTCCTGCATTACTTTGTCTGTGCCTCCCTCTCAGATCTCCTGTCCCTCTACTTCTCCCCCTCCACACCTTCCCTCTATTGCCCTTAATTATCTTCAGTTCACCAGAAACCTCTGCTTCCTCTTCCCCCTTTTTATATATGCTGTTCATTCTGCCTGGCATACTCTACAACACTCTGCTTTCCCTTCATCTTTGGTTTTCTACATCCCATCTCTTATCCCCCAAAGCTGTTTGCCTTCCACTGTCCAGTTCTGTCTCTACCAGAGCCCACATCCACTGTATTTTAATCACCTGGTAACTTGTCTTCATGTCTTACCAGCCTGTGGCCACCATGAAACTAGCAATCAGGCTTGTCTTCCACTGTTGTGTTCCCAGTGCCTAGCAGAAGGCCTGGAAGTGATTAGATGCTCAAAAAATGTGTGCTGAATGAATGAGTGAACAAACGAATAAAAAGCAGGAGGCAAGAAACAAAGCAGGAAGGCAGGGAATGGTCCAGAACTGTTTCTGGGAACACAGTGGGCACATGCAAGCCATCTCTTGCTGGGTGGGCTTTCAGTGGTCAGTTCACTAAAGGTAAAAGGACAAGGCTGAGCAAAGACCTACATTCTTTCTCTGTTCCTTCTCCCCTTCTCTCTTCCTTCAGAGTCCAACAAAACTTTTATTATCTACTTTTGTGTGTTTATTTCCTGTCTGTCCCCAGACAGTAAGCTCCATGGAGTTAGAAACCATGTATCTGCCCCCATCTTCTGTACATTTGTACCCAGCCCCTAGAGTCATGCCTGGAGTAGTTTTGCATAGTAAATATTCATTAAATGAAAGACTGATTAATGAATGAATGGGTCTGTGATGTTTAATCTCTCAGGTTCCAAAGAATCTGTGTTTTGGAATCTCCTAGGTTCCCCCAAAGAGCTGGTATTCCAGCCCTGTCATAAGTGAGCAGGAAATTATAAATTGGGAGGATGGAATGATCTCTTATAAGACAGAATTTTATCAGTCCGTCTCACAGGAATCTAGCCACTCATCCCAACTTGTTCTTAAGAAAAATTACTGAATTTTACCAAGTTATAAAAAAATTCACTACTAAAATTTTACTATAGTTGATACTGTGAAACAGCCCACCCCTACCCCTCTTCCATCTTTCATCCCAGAGTCCCAAGAGGAATTTCTCCAGAAGAGAAAACCCAGTAACAATATTTTCATAAACATTTTTGTAATTGTGAAAAGCTTCTTGCCAAAGGGTTGGTGAAAAAAAGGAAATGGTCTTCTCTGAACCAAACTTTAAAGAAAATTAGATGTCCTTCCATCCTTCTACCTGGAAAATCAAAGGGCTTCAAGGAGATGTTTTTCCTCAGCACAGACTTGTCTCGTGAAATGAGTAATTGGTAGACAGAACATTAACGTATCTGTATCATGATCACTACAGGTTCTAATAAAGCTGAAAAGTTAAAACAATTTCCACCTAAAGAACTCACTTAATTAGTGTTTCACTCTCCTGAATTTCTAGATTCCAAATTCTCCTTACTTTCTCCAGTTAAAAATACGCAAACCAAATAAGATGGGGTTTTTTTTTTAAGATTTCAGCTTCAAAAGAATAAAAAATTCTTCAGAACTAATGCAAATGATTCCAGAAACAATGTGAAGCGAGAGGAAGTCCTTCAACAAAATTTTAGTAGAAGTGGGCTACGATATATCATGTAACCTTTATATTTTAGAAGAATGAGACCAAGACTCCTGAACACCCCCGTTTTGACTACTCCATATGTCTATACCATATACTCTGCCAAATTTTCTTCATCTACAAAATGGGCATTCTGAGATCCAAATACTGACTTTCTATGAGAACTAAGTAAGACCATGTGGTAAACACAAACAAAAAAACCATACTAAAATATAGGTGCTGAGCAGTCCTAGAAAAATTACAAGGGGCTCCAGAGCATTGGCCTCCAGAGTCATTCATAAAAAGCAGAAATATAAAATATTAAATCCATGTATGCCATGCATCCTCCCTATGATTTTCTCTGTCCCTCCAGCCCACCACCACCAGAAATAAACCATTTTGTTCATGTTCATGGTTGGTATAAACTGAAGATTAACTTGGACAAAAGGAGCCACCCTAGCATGAGGAAACCTTGAGGCTGATTCATCAAAAACTTATATTCCCTGAAGATGTTTCCACAGACCCAACAGTCACAATCTCAAAGAAAAAGTCAGGGGAAGACAAAGATGTAGGAAGAATGAGATAGAGAAGAAAAGGGAAAAGTAAGCAAAATGAAGTCTAAAAAGATTTCATTATTGTCCATTTTCTGTGTGAGCACACAAAGAGAAAGAGCTGGATGTTTGCAACACTTAGAATTACAATAACAATCCCATAATATTTTCTATAGTAGATTCCTCAGATTATAGAGATAAAAGACTTTGCACACAATTTATAACACATTGTTCAGACTGATAATCTTCATAGATGTGTGTGCACATTTGTAAATATGTGGCCAAAAGAACATGCTGGTGAAAAATAATAAGCAATTACCCATTTTAAAGGAATTTATTTTAAATACTTCAAAAAGCTTAAGTATGGGAGCAGACTTAATTCCAGTTGAGTATTCCCACCATGTTTAGCAGCTTTATCAACCTAGCAAGGATATGTTTGGCAATGCAGGACTTGTATTTAAGTCCTAGCTGCTCTCCTTATTATGTCTGTGACTTTAGGTAAGATGCCCAACTCCTCTGATCCCGAGCTTCTACACTTGTAAAACGGGAACAATCATAAAACTTACTTCACTGTTGTGAATAGCAAATGAAGCAATATACCATTTCTAAAATGCCAGACTGCAACACATATTTTATAGTCTGAAGCAAAATAGGAGAATAAAGACTTGCAGATTCTTAATAAAGCTATTCATCCAATAAGAGACTAACCCTTTATTTGAGTGTTAAAGTCTTTCCAACTTTTCTTGTGTTAAGATTCTATGTTATTAAAGAGCTGGCGAAAGTCCATCTCTTTCTGTATGATTTTAGTAAATGGCTATTGTTTTGGGTTTTCTCTATTTTGTTATTTTCCTCAGGTGGCAAAATAAACATTTGGCAATTCAATGTTATTTCTGCAAATTGTTTCTGAACTGTTACTGGTCTTTGAAATCCAGAAGCCAGAGTATCATTGTAATAATACATGGATGGAAGTAGTCCCTGCATGGACCTAAGCTATGGTCACCAGATGATTCAGCTGCATTTGAAGACAAGTAGGGACCACCAGAAGGTAGCTTTTTTGCTTGTGGGACTAAGGAAACTCAGAGGGAAATACTCATTGAAAAATAAGAAATAGCTTATCAGATATATCAGTTAATGATTAGTGGTTGAAGTCACAGGATGATTCCAAGGTCAACATGTTATCTGTTGTTTGGGTTTATGTTTTCCTTGACCAAATCTCACTGGGACGTTCAAGAGGGACTATGGTAAAACTAAAAGTACTATTTCACTAAACTTCATAAGCCATTGGGACGGGGGTGAGGGGCAAGGCAGTACTGCTCTGAGGCTCCAGGAAAGGAGCCTGACACAAAACAGGGAAAGGTTTTCTCCCCACTTGGGTGGTCTAACCACAGAGGTACTGTGAGCAGGATCTCTATGGCTTAGGTGGCATGTGGTGAGCAGCAGCACCAGGGACTTTGGGAGCACAATGAAACTGCACATTCAATATAAGCTCCTTTGATGGCAGGCACCTGTAGCCATAGCAACAGGGAGGAACCTTCACAATGCTTCAATTCAGGCGACAGATCTCACCAAAATAAACCAAATCTAGAGAGAACAAAAATGGCCAACTCCAGGCAGTAGCTAAGAGGATGTGCTTGTGAGGACTTATGAAAGGGTCTTCAGGGAATCCTAGAAATACAAGGGGACCAGGAAGGCCAGTGGTAGCAAGGAGGTGAGGAGTACAGAAGAGAGGTAAAGTCAGTACCTGAAAAGTACCATATGTTACTCTTAGGTCCACTGGGTGAAGCCCATGCTTACTTCAACTGTGTAACCTTAGTCAAGTCCCTTAAGTTCTCAGAGCCCCCACTTCCTCATCTGGAAAATGAAATAACAATGAATATTAATAACTGGTTCACAGAATAATTTTGAGAATCAAACAAGATGACTTATTTTAAAATCTTTTTTTTTCTTTTTTTTTTTTTTTTGAGACAGAGTCTTGCTGTCACTGAGGCTGGAGTACAGTGGCGCGATCTTGGCTCACTGCAAGCTCCACCTCCTGGGTTCGCGCCATTCTCCTGCCTCAGCCTCCCGAGTAGCTGGGACTACAGGCACCCGCCACCACGCCTGGCTAATTTTTGTATTTATAGTAGAGACAGGGTTTCACCCTGTTAGCCAGGCTGGGCTCGATCGCCTAACCTCATGATCTGCCCACCTCAGCCTCCCAAAGTGCTGGGATTACAGGCATAAGCCACCGTGCCCAGCCTTAAAATCTTTCTTAAATGTTAAAGTTCAATGTAAATATTAACTTTAATATTTAACAGTGGATGGTTATGCAACTTTCAGTGCTGAGATCTTCTCAGGATTTTAACCTGTAGCATCTCCACTGCAGACACACAGCTGAAAGCATGCCTTCAAGGAGAAAGAATGAGGAGAGAATGAGCTAACTTGATTATGAAGTGGGAGGGAAGGCAAAACCCACCCAGTTACTCCCAGAGGACCAATAAGCCATCAACGTAGGAAGGAATTGTGAAGGGAGGAAAGAAATATGCTATGTATATCAGTTATATAGTGTCATTTATTCCTTATAAAACTATAAGAAAGAGATGACCAATCTTTTTACAGATAAGGCAAATGAGACTCAGAGGTTAAATGTCATACCCAAGGTCACATAACAAATAGAAGACAGGGCTGACATTTGTAACCCAGATATTTCCTGCTTTAAAATCAGATAGCATTTTTTTTCTTTTTTCTTTGTTGCTTCTCTATATAAGATGACAAATAAGTCACTAAGCATGTTGCACCATGCCCCGTGCCTCCATGTTGTTGCGAGCCCAATCCAAATCTTTCTGCACACTCAGTAGCCACCTTGGCTCCCCACAAAAGATTCTTCCAACTACACTTGCACTTGAACACTTTCTAAAAATGTTCTTTTGGGTGGCAAAACATTTTATTTGTTTGCATGGGCGTATCCTGAATGCGCCAAAGTAAAATTACTCAGATGAAAAATAAAGTCCTTTCACTGTGTGTAAATGCAACACGTGTAGCTTGCATGGGGAGAAAAGAAAACTTAAATTCTAAGCACATGAACTGAGTGAGAATTAAGTAAGCTGTTAGGAAGGATGGGAACTCTGTGTAAGGAAAGCCACAGGCCTGTGGTTTTCTGCTCTAGAACACCATCATGCCAATGGGATGATGTGGGGCTGCATTCCTGATAGACAATGTACCATTATTCTGCTCTTTATAAAATGGGGTATGCAAGACAGCACATGTGGTAGTAATAGGAAAAATGCAATTCGCTTTGGCTGCTTTTCAAACTTTACTATTTGGATAATCTGGGGACTTTTTTTTTTTTTTTTTTTTAACATTGAGAAGTTCTCCTAGGACTGGCTGATTATAAGATGAGAATATGTCCTAGATGCTGCCAACAGAGAAAACTTGGCTGAATTAGATTTTTTAAGTTGTGTGTACTTTTGCTGGGACAGATTGGCTTCTCCAAATCACCTCTTCTTTTTCAGAGAACTCAAATTCTGCCTTGAAAGAGTTTTAATCTTTCCCGCACAGGATGAAGGACCTTCAGTGCTCTTCCCAAAGTAAAACCCCCTGTGCTCGTTGTCAATGTGCCAAGCCAAATATTGAAGACAAGCTCATTTCTGTGATGTACTGTGCCCTAAATTGATGAGGCAACTTTCTTCTGATGAGTTAAAACCCTACAATGTTCACTTGTTTTTGCAATTCATTAAATTGTGTCTGACTGCTATGGTCCCTGGGTTCACGCTCAAGGACAAATAGTAACCAAAATGAAGAACCTACAACTTGTTCTTCCTAAAGCCAAAAAGTCTCTAGGGAAGAAGCAAACCTGAAATGTGACTTAAATGAAACCAAGCCCACATAAAAGAGGCTTTGGGAGCATAGAGGAAAGAGGATGGAAGAGTAGGCTTAGGTTTGAGTGACTGTGTGATTGCAGGCATGTTGCCAGTCACCAACTCTCCAAGCCCCATCTGTAACATAGAAATAAGATACCTCTATTCTGGGGCAAATGTATTAATGAAATAACTATTATGAAACTTCCTGGCTCACTTTCATGTACAAAGTAATGCTCAGTAATTGCTGTTTTCATTACTTCCTTCTCTGTCTACAGGATTGATGTGAAGATCAAATGAGATTATTGGGGATGGATTAAAGTGCCATTTACATGTGGGATTGTTGTAAAAAGGAAAAGCTGAAATATAAAAAAAGGAAAGGAATGTAAAGAACAAGGGAACAGATTTCAAAGAGACATCTGCACTTCCATGTTCACTGCAGCATTAATCACAATAGCCAAGACATGGAAGCAACCTAAATGCCCATCCGTGAATAAATGGATAAAGAAAATGTGGTATATAAATATGATGGAGTATTATTCAGCCCTAAAAAGGAAGGAAATTCTGCCATTTGCAACAACATAGATGAATCTGGAGAACATTATGGTTAGTGAAATAAGTCAGACACAGAAGGACAAATACTACACAATACAATTTACATAATAAATCTGAAATAGTCAAACTCAGAAGCAGAGTGGACTGGTGGCTGCCAGTAGCTCAGAGACTAGGAGATAATAATCAAAGTGTACAAAGTCTCAATTATACAAGATCAATAAATCCTAGAGATCTACTTTACAACATAGTGCCTATAATTAACAATATATTATGCTCTTAAAAATTTGCTAAGATGATAGATCTTATGTTAAGTGTTCTTGCCACAAAAATTAATAATAATTGAAGGTGATGACTAGGTTTATGGCATAGATTGTGGTGATGGTTTCATGGGTGTATACTTATATCCAAACTCATCAAGTTGTAAACATTAAATGTGTACAGCTTTTTGTATGGCAATCCTACCTCAATAAAGTATTTTAAAAATAGGGGAAAATGTGATAAGGGATACACAGCAACCCTCTCTACTATCTTGCAACTATTCTTGCAACTTTTCTATGAATATAAAATTATTCCAGAATTTAAAAAGAAAAAGACCAAGGGCCTGCCCCCCAGAGAATCCTTCTGGGTCTGATCTGGATGTTGCCCAGTTCTTTGTGACAGATTCAAACTGCTGGCAGACTCCTCAAGGAGAGAGAGACAAAACACACACCGTGCCCTTATGTATAGCCCATAAGAGACTGCAGGGAAATCAATGGAAAAAATGTCAAAATTCTAGGCCATACCATTACTCAGTCAACAAATATTTATTGTGCCAGACTCTGTTCTAGAGGCTGTGAATAAAACAATGAACAAATGCCAAGATTTCTGCCCAAGTTGAACTTATATTTTAGTGGAGAAAGATGAACAAAATATTTAAGTGAGCACCATAAATGCTATGATAGATGAGAAAAAGTAGAAAACAATTGAAAACATTGGGTTTTGTGATTTTTAAGTAGGGTCATAAGGGAAGCTCCCACAGGGAACGTCAAGATTTTAAAGGACTTGAGTAAAAAGAATACTGGAGAGAGATCCAGAAAAAGCCTGCAAAGACCCTAAGGCAAGAGAATGCCTGTGAAGTCCAAGGAACAGCAAGGCACCCAACATGCATGGAATAGAGGGATCAAAGGAGAGAGTAAGGGCAGGTAAAGTCAGATAGGGGGCCAGATCATGGATGATCTTGAGGGCTCTCATAAGGCGTTTAGCTTCACCTGGTAAGGAGTGGGAAGCCATTGGAGGGTTTTGAGCAGAGGAGTGAGATTATCTAGCTTATACCTTAACAGAGTCACTCTGGTTGCTGTATTTAGGAACAAGGGCAGAAGCAAGAAGGTAAGTTGGGAGCACATTGCCATTTGCCCCTGATGGGAAAGCTGGAATATGGTAGAATTATTTATTTATTCAATGATACAGCAGAGTCCATAAAGGAAAAGAAAATGCCTATAGTGTAATTCTCTAAACTGATTTTACCCCCTGAAAACCTGCCATCAGTCAAAAACTGGTGAGGAGTGGGGAAAGGAGGAAGTTCTTCACAGAAGTCCATCATTTAATTTCTAGATTACTGTTTGCCCCTGAGATATTATATATTTGTTATCTATAAGTGGGTAATCTACATAACCTACCAGATACTTTGAAGTAGAGATACCTTAGTAATAGTGGAAATTTACCCTCAAGTTTTTTCAGTCAAGCTCTGAATGTTTTTCAAGCATCAAAGCATTATAACTAAAAAGAGAAGAAGAAACAAAATTCTTCAATGACATGGTGATCTGACTTGTTTTCCAACTAAGTTCTCAAGTATGGAAACAAAAAATGGAGAAACCAAATTCATCACTGGTAGAAATAATGCTTGGGCACCCTGAATAGCTGAAATATTCTGCAGGGCAGGAGGGATACAGGGTGAAAGGAATCCCAGTTTGGAGAAATTAGGTCTAAGAGATAGAAAGATGGTTTTCCAGGATGAAAGATCTCAGGGACAATCAAAATCCAGATGTTACGAAGGAACTAGATGCATTGGTTAGAAAGAGCTTGGGAGCAGAGGACAGGCACTATTGGAAAATTGTTCAGGCAGGAAGTGCCAGGAAAGAGAAAGGTTCAATAGTGAGGATTTCTCTGTATGGGAGACCAACAGAGTTTCACCACTCAGATGCATGGGGTCTACTCTGAGGGTAGTACAATCTGAACCTGCTGGTAGAGCTAGAGAATCTAGGAGAAGCAAAAAGGTCTTATTTCCTCCATGACTAACAGATCCTTCAGGGAGAGCTCTTTTTTGTGGCTTGTGAGGTTATACCATACTGATAGAGGACTGTGAAGCTAAACAGAGCTGACAGTTAGAAGTCTGAAATTTTTATCAAGCTGAATTCAACACTTCAACTCCCTGTTCATACCTGAATTCCTTTATCTGGTTACAAAACTATTTTTAGACTACCAATGACTGACAAAGCAAGCACAATGGTTTGCTTTCCATGGGGGGGCGGGGTGGGGGGGAAACAGAAACCAAATGAGAAATAAGGCATAAGCCTCAGGGGCCCAAGGGCATTTATGGCTAAATGATAAAATCTTTAATGGGGACAGAAGTAGAGGTGATGATAGAAAGTAACCAACAACAAAAAAGAATAAGTTCATTGAGACAATACAAAAAAGTACAAAACAGATACTTCAGAGTCTACAGTTTGACTCCCTTTGTTAGAAACCTCAGCCTGTCACTCACTAGTTTTTCTTTGTCTTTTGAGACTGAGTTTCACTCTTCTTGCCTAGGCTGGAGTTCAATGGCACCATCTCAGCTCCCCACAACCTCTGCCTTCCAGGTTCAAACAATTCTCCTGCCTCAGCCTCCGGAGTAGCTGGGATTACAGGCATGCATCACCAAGCCTGGCTAATTTTGTATTTTTAATAGAGATGGGGTTTCTCTATGTTGGTCAGGCTGGTCTTCAACTCCTGGCCTCAGGTGATCTGCCCGCTTTGGCCTCCCAAAGTACTGGGATTACAGGTGTAAGCCACAGCGCCCAGCCTCTAGTTTGTTTTTGGTTTTTTGTTTGTTTTTTACCTTAGATATATCACTAAACATCTCTGAATCTGTTTCCTCAACTGTAAAATGGTAATAATTTAAAGGTCACCAATTATGATATATAAAGCATATAGCACATAGTGTTCAATAAATTTTCACTTCCTTCTTTCATCTTTGTACGTATGGATTTGACCATAATATAGTCAAAGATTAAAACTGCAAAACTACAAATGACTATGTAATTTGGTTAATCACTATAGCTGATTTAATTAGTAATAACTTCACCTTGGGTCCCTTATTAATTCATCTTTAAATGGACCACAAAATTTCCCACAGTTCATTATTTTAATAAACATTTATTGAAGTTGCACTACAGACCATGTATCACATGAGACACTATGCAAGACAGAAAGAACAATGTTGTTTTGATCTTCTGCAAGCCAACATCTTAGAGGCATATAAACAAAATAATCACCACACTGTGATAATCATTATCACAGAAGATTATACCGTGAGTGTCCAAAAAGAGTGAGTAACTCTACCTGAGGAAAAATGCTAGCCAACACTAAGCACTTACTATGTGCCAGACAATATTTTTAATACTTCACATGCACCAGCTCGTTAAGCATTACAACACCGCTATGAAATTAGTTACTATGATTATTTCCATTTTGCATATCAGGAAGCTGAGGCATGGGGAAGTCAAGTCACTTATCCATAGCTAACAAGAGACATGGTCAGGATTTGAATCCAGGCATTCTGGCTCCAGAACCCACACTCCAAACTCTATAGTGTACTGTGGATACTGAGGATGCTTTATAGGGAAGGTAACATACAAAGCAGGACTTGTAGGATAAGCAGTTTGCAAGCCAGAGAAAGGAATCAGTATGGAGGGAACATCATACATCAGAGTGTGGAAACTCAGTGTTTGAAGGTAATTTAGCAATGCATACAGCCAAAATGGGAGAACAGGTCAAAAACTGAAAGAAGCCAAGGCTGATAAAGTTGCCTGTTAAGCCTCCCAATATTTTCTCTCCATTATTCTATGAGACTTGGATTCTTTCCAACGGTGCCAAAGCCCATCTTCTGCCTCTTTCTTTGGTCTCCTTTAATTCAACAGCTAGACTTGGCAGCTCATCAGAACAAATATCCTGTGTGGGTTAGTGATGGACTTACCTGCTTTGAATAAATAAGATGCTTAAAGATACCAACTACTTAATGCTACTTGGAGGACCACTCAACACTGAGTATTTAAAAATGATTTTAGGTGTTTGGTCATGTGACTAAGATGGCTAATATTTTTGCCATACCAGAAGAGGCCACACTATAATTTATTCATTATCTCAATGGAAAACTCTTCTAATTGTCCATGTATTTTATGAGGGGTGGAAGTGTCACGGAAATAAGGGAGATGCTTGCCTTAATGAACTTTAGAAACCCTAGATTCTAGGAGATCCCTAAAAAAGGAAATTACAAGGATGCAAGCATTAGCTTTTTCTCAAAGTGCTTGCATCAGCCAATGTTTGCCTTTTGGTAAACTGCTACCAAGAAAGGCTGTGGGAATAGAGCAAATAATATGATGTGAGGCAAAGTATTTGGAACTGTTGGATAAATCACATGCCTGGATAGCACCCAGGATGGCCCGACATCACTCTTAGCTCATGAGACATCAAGGTGAGAACATCCGTTCTGACAAACAGCCATAAAGAGTTTAAAGAAACAGCCATAGACCACTTACTAAAACAGCTTGTTCTCACAGGAAGGCAGGGACTGTGGGAACAACTCTAGAGATAATTAACATTGAAAGAAGGGTTTATGTTAGAGCAAATAAAACTTGAGTTTGTTATATAAGCAAAAAAAGCACACTAGGAGAGGAAAACTTGAAAATACATGACAGAATGAGGATAAGAGATCAAGCAAAACAATAAAGATGGCAGAAAAAGGGGCTCAAAATTTGCAGCTTGGAGATGCTGGATGGAAAGGGAATAAGGAGACAACTTTCCCTGATATGGAAAAAAGAGAAAGCATGTATGCCGATTCAGAAGGTAAATGAAAGAGAGGGTTGGGCTGCTGCATGGCTTCATATGCTCAGTAAAAACAAAAGTCTCCTAGTTTGACTCGGGGAATCTGACACCCATACTTTTTTCTGTCTTTCTCACTTCCCACATCAACCCATCACCTGGTTCTGCTGGTCCTATCCCCAAAGCATGTCTAACAACACAGCCACCTTTCTCCATCCCCAGCACCGCCGCCACCACGGTCCAAGCACAATTATCTCTAGAACGGAGTCCTGCAGAAGTTTTCCAGTTGTTCCCATGTCTCTATTTACCCCCAATCCATTCTCCACATATCTGCCAGAGAGAGATTCCAAAAGTGAAAATTGACTCCAGTTCCCTATGGCCTTTTGAATACAATACAAATCCCTTAATCTGCCAAAATTATCTTAGATGTGACTCAGCTTTCTTCTCCAGCCCTATCATATGCCATTCTCTTTCCCCATCTGTGGTCTAGCCATATTGACCTTTCCATTTTCAAACACACTTAGGCCTGTCTCCACCCTACTTGTTCTCACTGAAATGTTCCTTCCTGGCTCTTTTATTTATGTCAGTATGAAGGGCTTCTTCTCTTTCCTGAAGCCTCAAGCTAAATGCCTTCTTCTCAAAGGAGCTCTCAAAGACCAGCTTGTCTACGAAAATACCACGACTGCTGCCCTAAAGCAAGGAGTTAGTGGTTAAGAAGGTAGACTAAGGACACTGATTTCAAAGCCCAGCTCCCTCACTTGTGTGACCTCCAGGCAAGTGAACTTAATTGTTCTGTAACTCAGTTTTCCACCATAAGATGGAAAAAACATAATGTAGTCAGAGGCTGGTCGGAAGGATTAAAAGAATCAATAAGCATAAAGGACTTACAGTAGTATCTGGTCCATATAAATGTTCAGTATGCACTTTTTATCATCACAGCGCTCTCTTCACTTCCTTCTAACACTTTAATCAGTATTTTTGTGTTTATGTTTATTATCTGGCTTATCCACTATTTCATAAGCTCCAGGAAAACAGAGAACTGGTCCATAACCCCAATACCTATGAGAACGCCAGCTGTTCAGTCAATATTTGATGAATGAATGAGTTTATAGCATATCCACCTCAGTGTGTAGGTTTTGAGAAGGCCCAAACTACTGCTGAGAAAAAAAGCTGAACTCATTAACCACAGTAACTGTGCTAGCTAAGAATGTCCAAAAGGACAAGACATGTCTCTGAGAACACAGCGTGGTTCCCAAGCTTGAAGGCATTGTAAGTATATTAGTCCATTCTCCCACTTCTATAAGGACATACCCAAGACTGGGCAATGTATAAGGGAAAGAAGTTTGACTCACAGTTCTGCAGGGCTGGAGAGGCCTCAGGAAACTTCCAGTTACGGTGGAAGGAGAAGAATGAGTGCCCAGTCAAGGGGGAAGCGCCTTATAAAACCATCAGATCTCGTGTGAACTAACTTACTATCACCAGAACAAGATGAGGGAAACTGCCGCCATGATTCAATTGTCTCCACCTGGTCCCTCCCACAACACGTGGGGATTATGAGACCTACAATTCAAGATGAGATGAGATATGGGTGGGGACACAGCCAAACCATATAAATAAGGATTAGTAGAAAGCTGATCAGAGTCAGAGTGTATCAGGTGAAAGGATAGAAAGTTGTGGTAAGAGAAAAAGCATCTCAGTTTGGGGTGAAAGTGAGATCAAAATGCAGTTATTTTTACCCTCGTGACTATGGTTAGAGGACAAAGGGAGGTGATCAGAGTTGAGAGGACTAAGAAAGGGAGAGAACCAATGTATTAGAAGAGTTATCAGTGTGAAACTGAATTCCTTGAGTATAGGGTGGGAGAGAAGTCAGAAGTCAGGAAGTAAAATGCCGAGGCAGGTGCTAAGGTCACTAAGAAGAGTAAAAGAGCATCCCAAAGGTCAATCAAAAAAAAAAAAAAAAAGATTGACGAGCGTTGGAAGAAAAATTATCCAGAGCAGCAGCAAAGAGTGAGGAGATTGCCAGCACTCCTTCTTGAATTAAGTCTCATGAATTAAAAGAAATGGGAGCATCCTGACGTAGAGATTAGGAATGGGATAGTCCAGAGGCATATATCATTGAAGGGGAGAATGTGGTGCATTTTGGGGTCTTAGACAGATCTGACCAGTGTCAAAGTTGAAGAGATGCTGTGATGTTGTGATAGTCATGACACCCTGAGTTTTATCCTCTGTTCTAAAAGGGCTGGGAAACACTGGCTGATTTTTAGTTTTATTCAGATATCGGTACCATTTCTGGTAGAGTGTGATTCAACCACCATAAGTTTGCTTCATGTCTCTGTCTCAATCTCAATCTCTCTCACCATTTTTCTGTGACCCAAAGGTGGGACATAAATGTCTTCCTACAAATTGATGGAAGCATCCTTCCTGCGGGCCTCCCCAGGAGACATCAGGAAGCAAATGGCAAAAATCAAGACCATATTTAGGTAGAAGACAGCGCCAGAGGCTACTGACAACATCATAAATCCCTAGAGAAAACCTCAAGCTGGAGTTTGTCTAAGCAGATGCAGGAATTTGCTATTTTTCTCATCCTTCCTCATGTGCACTGCCTGGACAGCCTCTTCAGACTGGAGCCAAGACTGCAGGCTGCACTGGCCAGATCACGGGGAATACTTGGGAGAAATACTAGCCCTCAGCCCTCCCTTATTTTGAGCAGTAGGTCAGGTGAATTACTTCAAATACATGCAAGGCCCTTCTGTTACCATGGTAACTGTTCTAAGAACCGTAACAACGTCAATCATAGAAACGGTGAAATCATAACTTGAACCCATCTTGCTGACAAAGATATCTTGAGAAGTAGCCACTGCTCAGTGGCAGACCTTTTGCCTCTCATTTGGGGTAAAATGTTTTGTTTACATCCAATCAGTCATGGGAATAAGACGAAATGGTGGTTAGTCATTTTCCTTCTGCTTCGCTGGGTCTACTTCTGTCTGTATTTTGCTGATATGCTTGTAACTCATTTTCCCTGCTTGAAATTACAGATGGAACAATTCTTTTTTTCACCTCTCTTTCCTGCATAGGTATAAGCACTTGAAGACAAAATATTGATTTTTTTTCCATCTACTTAAAAAAAAGAACAGTGTGCTCATTTTCATTACATTGTGCCAGTTGTTTTAATTTCTATGTGCCTGTTTTGATGAAGCAATCTCACAATATCTGGAGATGAAGTTCTAATCCTGGGGCCCTGAAATAAGATCCAATGTCTTTTGTCTACACTGAGAAATGGAGCAAACATCTCAGTTGATTCTTACATGAATAGAGAAGTTAAGGAGTAATTCTTACTTCTTTCTTTCCTGTTTGTGAAAAATCTACACTCTGAATTCTAAAGTGATATCCCACAGAAATAAAATACTAAAATGGCATATTCATGACATCTGGAGGCTACATGATACTTCTTACGAAAAAAAAATAAAGGATTCTGGCACATTATCATTCAAAATCTGTTATTTGTTTAGTTTTATTTTTTAGTGTACATTGTAGGGCACTCTAGTCCTACATGATATTTTTATCCTTTCTTTAGAATTCTAAAGAATCTCAAAGCAAGAATATTTCTGTGAGTTTATTAGAGCCTTCAGTTTAGATACCGAATTGTTACAAAACCAATATTTTTTACATTTTTCTTCTTAATAACGTTCTTTGACCCAGAGAGAACTAAAAAATAAGCTATTTGATGTCTAAAATTGCAGAGATAAACTGACATTGTGTTCTGAAGGTGTCTTTTCACAAGAAAAATGGAATTTAAAAAAAAATGTAATCAAGTTATACAGAGCCTCTCACCCTCAGGTCATCAGTTCAGATTTGTCTGAGGTTGGAAAGTTATACAAAGTTGCAGTGCTTGCTGGGCTCTCAGTGCCCTATAAGAAATGAGTTGGAGGTCCCAGGGGAGGTCACCGCTTTGTTGCCATCATCCCATAATTGACACCTATGAATTCTTTGGAGAATAACAATTCCAACAGAAGTCCACAGATTTTGCCTAAGAACTCCAAGTTTGTCCTAAGCACCCTTAGGCTTGCAAATGTATGTTTGCAAATGTAAGCTCCCCCAAGGAATGGAAGCCACTATTTTTAGTAACTCTGGAAAGCCTCTGCACAGTATCAAACTTAATTCATGCAACTGAGGTGTTGACAATCCTGAGGAGAATGTAGATGAACAAGGAGGACAAGTGCGAGGAAGACAATGAGAAGGAGAATTTTTAAAACTAAGCAAACAAAAGAAGAAAGAAATGGAGAGAAAAGATGAGAAGAGGCAAGGGAAAGTAAGGGGAAAAAAGGAGGAGCAAAATAAGAATGAAGAACAAGAAAAAGGTCAGGAGAAAACGAGAAAGAAATGAAGAAATAGGATATATGAAATTCTATCATGGTAGTGAGTAGAGATCTCTCCATTCCAACAGAGGTTTTATATGCATTGTTCTCACCACAAGGATCTTTCTTATATAGGAATTTCACTTTTTGTAAATGCTAAATTTGATTAAAAATCCAGACTTAATAGTCATCCTCCAAAGAAAGGAAGTCACTGACAAAGACGTTTTTGCATTCCAACCCTATATATGTGAAAGAACCCAAGGAGGCTCAGGAATTTATGGCTCCTCATACTTTGAAAGTTGCGGTGCAGATAGGACAAAAACAAAAGATTTAATTGAAAGTCTGGATTATAAGCTGCAGATGGGTTCTCTCTTCCCCTGTTCCAGTAGAAGACTAGATGTATACTCTATGAAGAGGTTGAACCAGATACGCTGGTCTTAGGGTTATTGAGCAGAGCTGAAGGGTAGGATTTCATTCTGAAAACTGAAAGATTAGGTGAGGTCGACTTACTAAATGCTGAGAAGATCAGTCTTCTTACCAAACTCAGTGAGAAGAATGCTGGAACCAAGAATATCTCCCCTAGAAGTGAGATCAGAAAATTGATATCTGAAAAAAGTGCTCAACGCGATAGAAAAGACCTAAAGTTGCTCATAGTTGCATTGGTCCTTGCACCACCCTGCCAGATCACCATACAGTGAAACTCACCGAGTAACATCTGCTCACAGAATGATCATTTCCCCCAAGACTGTAGTATCTCACTCTCAGCAAAAAGGCCCCCATCACCAGATACTTGAGGGAAAGCTTCTAACGTGAAAAAGACCAAAACAAAAAGCAGTAAATGAACACAGGAAAGAAAAAACAATGCAGAGAACAGTAGAAAACATCTCCAAAAACTAACTTCTTCACAGAAATAAGAATATTGTCAGGATAAAGTAAGAGTAGGCATATATTTTTTTAAAAACCAATTTGTATAACATGAGAGATTTGATATTAAAAAAATAAGTGAGCAGAATGAAAATCAGTGAATGAGTTGGAAGATAAAGTTGAGGAAAACTCTCAAAAAGTATAAAATAAAGAAAAAGAGATAGAATTTGGTCAGGTAGGGGGGCAGATAAGAAAATTAGAGCCATATCTGCGAGGCCTAGTATACAAATAAGGGGATTTTCAGAGAGAAAAAAAGAAGAGAGATACCAGTGGGGGAGTGGAATTGAGGGTTGTTCTTCCCTTTTCTTGAAAAATAGCACGTTTTCAAAATAGCTTGGCTGTCCCATCCTATTGAATCTAAGAAGCCCAACAGCCTTTCTTCACTATTTTCTTCTTCACCCACTTCAGTTCAAATTGGCAATATTTCTACTCATATAATGCCGTCTCTATTCCTGGCTTCTGTTGTAGAGACCGATTAAATTTATGGTTCACCTTCATACTAATCTCCTTATCAAATGGTTGTTCAGCCACACCCTTGATGTTTCCCTGAGAACAAACTTTTTTACTTTTTGTAATATGTATAGCTGAGAATTTTCTAAGTCCTCAAGTTTTAGTTCCTTTTTGCTTAACAATTCCTTCTTCAGCTTCTCTCTGTCTCTCTCTCTCTCATTTTACTACAAGCAGTCAAGTGGTTAAGGGGACCTAGTCTGCACCTTCGACATTTTGCTCAGAAATCTCCTCAGTTAAATATCCAATTTTATCACACATGAATTATACTTCCACAAAACACTAGAATATAGATCAGTCAAGTTCTTTGCCACTTTATTACAAGGATTGCCTTTCCTCTAGTTTCTAAAAAGTTATTTCTCCTTTCCATCTGAGACCTCAACAGAATGGTCTTTAATATCTACATTTCTGTTAACACGATTATTCTGTTTATGATTGTATAGTTTCTAAGAATATAAAGGCTTTTTTCTCCAGTTTTCCTTTATTTTTAAGTCTTCACCAGGATTGCCTTTATCATCCCTATTTCTACCAATATTTCCTTTATGGCAATATAGGCTTTTAGCTTGCTCCTCAAAATGCTTCCAGGCTCTACCCGTCACCCAGTTCCAAAGCTGCTTACACAGTGTTAGGTATTTGTTACAGCAGCACCCTACTTGCTGGTACCAATATCTTAATCTGTTTGTGCTACCATAACAAAATCAGACTGGATGGCTTAAACAACAGATATTTTCTTTCTTTCTTTCTTTCTTTCTTTCTTTCTTTCTTTCTTTCTTTCTTTCTTTTTTTTTTTTTTTTTTTCTGAGACAGAGTCTCACTCTGTAGCCCAGGCTAGCTGGAGTGCAGTGGCGCGATCTCGGCTCACTACTACAACCTCCGCCTTTGGGGTCCCAGTTCAAGCAATTCTCCTGCTTCAGCCTCCCAAGTAGCTGGGATTACAGGTGTGCACCACCATGCCCAGCTAATTTTTGTATTTTCAGTAGAGACGGGGTGTTGCCATGTTGGCCAGGCTGGTCTTGAACTCCTGACCTCATGATCTGCCCACCTTGGCCTCCCAAAGTGCTGGGATTACAGGCATAAGCCACCATGCCCGGCCCCCAGATATTTATTTTCTTACAATTCTAGAGGTTAGAAGTCCCAGAACAAAATCCAGAATGGTCAGTTTCTTCTGAGGGCTCTCTTTCTGCTTGCAGATGGCTGCCTTCTTACTGTGTTTTTGCATGGCAGAGAGAGAGAGGGGGTCTCTTTCTCCTCCTCTTCTCCTAAGGCCACCAGTCCTATGAATTAGGGCCCTACTCTTATGACCTCACTTAACCTTAATTACATTTAAAGCTCCTATCTCCAAATTGGGAAAGCCCATTGGGAGTTAGGGCTTTCACAAATGAATTGTGTGAGGATGCAATCATTCCATAGCAGGTGACAAGAAGGATGTCACTAAAAGTATGACACTGACAGACTGAGGAATTTGAATACAAAGGGAGGAGGTATGTATGTCTGGCAAAGAGTTTAGAGATGAATTAGCAATCATTCATAGAAAACAAATTAAACAAAAAAAAAAAGGATCATTATTAAATGCAGCAAAGGGAAAAAAAGCTGTAATATCCCTGATCTCTTGCAAAGAAAATGTAATCATAATACACTATATGACTCATGTATAAAGTGTAAATAATGTTTATTTAGTCATAATTATGTAAACACTGAATCTGTTTTTAGACTTCAGTGCAGATGGTAGAGTTAATCATACTTTTCAATCTCTAGCTTACCAGCATTGGTCTTAGTGCAGCCCCTTTCTTATTTATTTGTGTATCTCCCCTTATATCCATTCCCCCATAGGCAAACCCCCTGATATGTTTCATGTGTGTATTTTATTTATACAAGTTCTTTTAAAATGTGTATTATATTATTTGCATACATTTTTAATTTACACATGTAGTATTTCTAAATATCTAATTCTTTTTGTTTTTGGTGGGTTTTTTTGCTTTTGTTTTTTTGGTTCTTTTTGCTTTTTTGACCCAACTATTTTTTAAATCTATCCACATTGCTGTTGTGTCTTAGTCTGTTTTGTGCTGCTACAACATAATACCATAGACTGGGTAATTTACAATAAACAGAAATTTATTTCTCACAGCTCTGGAGTCTGGGAAGTCCAAGATCAATGGGCCAGCATCTGGCAAGGGCCTTCTTGCTACATCATTCCATTGTGGAAGATGGAAAGGCAAAGGGAAGGCGAGAAAGAGAGCATAAGAAGGCCAAATTCATCCTTTAATAAGGAACTTACTCCCACAAAAACAAACCCACTCCCCTGATAATAGCATTAATCCATTCATTAGGGTGGTGCCCTCATAACCCAAACACCTTCCATTTAGCCCCACTTCCCAACACTGCTCCATTGAAAACCAAGTTTACAACACATGAACTTTGGAGGGGTACATTCAAACCATGGCACAGCGTATACATCTAATTCATTGCTTCTAATTCACAAGAATTCCTTAATGTATATCCATCATATGTATTTACCAGGTCCTTTATTGATCAACAACTAGATTGTCTCCAATTTCCAACTGCCACAAACAAAGTAGGAAATTTCTGTAGGATGAAGATCCTGAAGTGTGATGGAGTTGACTAAGTGGTGGCAGAGTGCTCTCCAGAATTGCTACCCCAATCTACACTTCCATCATGGTACTCTGCAGTTCCTGTATGATTATCATATACCTGCCACCCTTAGCAGTATCCAGCTTTTCAATTCTGACTTTACTGAGAGGAATAAAGTAATATTTTATATTTTCCTTTTTCTAATCACCGGTGGGTTAGAGCATCTCTTCATCTGCTTGCTAATCATAAGAGTTTTTTTTAAATTTTGAATTACTTATTCACACTTTTGTTCATGTTTCTCTTCATTTCCCATATTTTCCTTTTGCCTTGCAAGAATTCCTGTTATAGTCTAGAAGCTGATCTCCTTTGGCTTAGGAAACTAAGCAAACAAGAACACAAGACCATTAATAATTCCATGAAAACCAAGTGCACAGGAAAGGAAATTTAATCAAACTGATGACATGACTCAGATGTAAATAATATTTGTACAGTCATAATAAGGTAAACACTGAATCTTGTCATAACAAAAAAATTATTCTCAGAAGGTGGGAAAAGTGAAAGTGAATGGAAGGAAGATGTAAGAAGTATAAGAACTAAATCCTCATATTTTATGGTAAAAATACAATGGATGATAACCTGTATGGTTGAATTGTGTCCCCAGAAAAATATATATTAGAGTCCTAATACCCAGTACCTCAGAATGTGACCTTAATTAAAAATAGGATATTTGGCCAGGTGTGGGGGCTCACGCCTATAATCCCAACACTCTGGGAGGTGGAGGCAGGTGGATCACCTGAGGTCAGGAGTTTGAGACCACCCTGGCCAACATGGTGAAACCTTGTCTCTACTAAAAATAAAAAATTAGTCAGGCATGGTGGCAGGTGCCTGTAGTCCCAGCTACTAGGAAGGCTAAGGAGGGGAATCGCTTGAGCCCAGGAGGCAGAGTTTGCAGTGAGCCAAGACTGCGCCACTATACTTCAGCCTGGGCAACAAGAGCAATACTCTGCCTCAAATAAAAAATAATAATAATAGGATATTTACAGAGGTAATCAAGTAAAAAGGAGGTCATTAGGTTGGGCTCTAATTTGATATGACTGGTGTCCTTATAAGAAGGGGAATTTGGGCACAGAGATAGACATGCACAGAGAGAAGACCACATGAAGAAGACAGACAGAAAGCCACGTGAAGATGAAGGCAGTAATTGGGTTAATGCATACACAAACTAAGGAACACCAAAGACTGCCAGCAAACCACCGGAAGCTAGGGAACAGGCATGGAACACTCTTCTTCACAGCCCTGGAGGAAACCCACTCTGCTGACAAGCGATTTGGGACTTCTAGCCTCCAGACCGTAAGACAATGAACTTCTGTTGTTTAAGCCACCCAGTTTGTGGTACTGATGGCAGCAGTGGCCCATCTGGAGCGGCTGCTGCGTAACACCGGCTGCAGTGGGGGAGGTGCAGTCAAGGCTGCATGCTCCGCAGAGCAGGTGGGAGCCCCACCCCTTTCTGAGACGGAGGGGCTGGAGCCCCACCCTCCCAGGCACAGCAGCAGCCACCTGGCTGCTGCTGCAGACCCAAGCATCCCTACATTCTTGGGGGCCTGGGAAGCCCTCTTGCCCCCACAGGCTCAGAAGTGCCTGCTCCCACCGTATGGGCTCTCCCTGCTCCAATTTCGGAGCAAAGCTGTGGCCGAGCCTGGGTGCTGTCATGACCCAGCCTGGTATGAACGCACTTAGGGTGGTGCTGATACACCAACCCCCTGCCACCTCAGCCCCCTCCAAGCTTTGGGCACCAACGAGCATGGGAGAAAGGCCGAGGGGAAGCTGAGGGGGGTTTGGTGCAGACCTGCAGCTGCCCCCTCATCATGAACAGCCTGGGCACCATGGATGACATATAACTGGTGGCAGGGGGCAGACAGGCTCCTGGGTGGAAGGGGATGGGTCCCTGGTGAAGCCCCACTTTCAAGCCAGGGATAGCCTGAAGCCTTGGGGCCAGGCTGCCAGTTCTGCAGACTGGAATGAGAACTTACAGTGCTTTTTCTGGGCCCACCCATGGACAAATCACCAGGCAACTTCCTCCCCTCTGAAGCCCATAAAAACTGTGGATTCAACCAGACTCAGGCCAACCACCAGACAACCTGCCTGCAGATAGGAGCTATCCACTCTGGGTCTCCTCTCCACTGAGGGCTGTAGAGACATTGGGATAACCTGCCTGCGAATAGGAGCTACCCATTCTAGGTCTCTTCTCCGCTGAGGGCTGTAGAGATATTGGAACAACCTGCCTGTGGTTAGGAGCTACCCAGTCTGGGTCTCCTCTGTACTGAGAGCTGTAGAGATGATGGAATGACCTGCCTACAAATAGGAGCTACCCACTCTGGGTCTCCTCTCCACTGAGAGCTGCAGACTTGACAGGATGACCTGCCTGTGGAAAGGAGCTACCCCACTTCAGGTCTCCTGAAAACATTCTGTCACTCAATGAAACTCCTTTCAACTTGCTCACCTTCCAGTTGTCCATGTACCTCATTCTTCCTGGATGCAGAACAAGAACTTGGGACTGAGAAAAACAGCTGTATCACAAATGAGGCTGAAACACACCCACCCACCCCACTCATCAAGTTGTGGGTGACAAGAAGGAGAGAAGAGCTGTGGCCCTTTGAGAGCCCAGACCTAGGGGCTCCCCAAGCCAGGTCTATCACACCCTCTTTGGGGGATCTGTGGTTCCTGGCATGTCCAAGCTTCTGGGCACCACCGTGCTCTCCTCGTCCAGGTACGGGTGCCCACAACAGAAGCCATGGGCAGTACATCTGGTCCAGCCGCAGCCTCGCATGAAGCCGGCACCTGTGCTGGTGTCTGGAGCTGCCCACCCCACCACAGCAGCCAGCATGCCTGGCTGAGTGCAGTGGCTGGACCCCATGATTGCTCCACCACACACTCCTTGCCACTCCACACCTGGCTCAACCTTGGCAGGTGTGGGATCCAGGCTGGCAGCATGAGCCAAGCACAGTTTGCTGGGCTGAGTGGGCAAAATGAGCCTGGTGGGCACGAGCAATACTCAGGCAAAAGGTGCCACTGGCCACAGACGTGTCCAGCTGGTGAAGCAATACCCCAAGGATCCCGTGATAGTACTTGGTTATGACAGCCCTAATAAAGTAATACAATACCTTTAAAAAAGAAATAACAGTATATACATTATATTTAAAACATGGAGGCAAACATAAATGTAAGTGGCTGCTTCTGGGAAGTAGAAATGGGTAGGAACAGAAAGGGCATGGGAGGCTGGAGATGGCTGTTTTCTGTTGTAAGTTATGTAAAATTCCTTGACTACTTTAACTGTGTTCTTATAATTTTTACAAAAATATATTCTTAAAAAGCTATCTTGCCATATTTTAAGCCTCTGCAACATCTTAGGGAAGATAATTTCTATATTTTTACTGCCTTAATAGCAACAAAGAAGATTTTTTTGTTCTGTTAAGAAAATGTTGGTTGTTAGGCTTCAAAGTACATTGTTGTATGGTTTTGTGATGTTATATATTATGGACAACCCTAAGACTGGGGCCTAAATTTGTTATTAACAGGCAAAAGCCTTTACATTTCAAGAGTCTGGATGGTGAGCGCAGAGTATTACAGACAGAGAATGAATTTAGAGGGAGATAGAAATAGGTCTGAGTCCAAATGCCCCTGCTTATTAATTTGTATGACCTGAGGCAAGTTCATTTAAATCTCAGTTCCTCAATTTCTTCATCTGTGCAATTGGATAATAAGGGAGTACTTCCTGGGAATTTTGTGAGTCATAATGAGAAACACTTAGCACAATGCCTGGCTCACGGTAAGCACTTGATAAATGGTAGCCATATGGTTATGATAGCCATAGTAAGAAGCTTTTCCATTCTTTGCCAACTATATCTTCAGCCACTAATTTAAAATTCTTCCTTCTACTCCCATATCCTTCATTCTTGATTCAAACCATTAGTTAATTTTGCTCACTGTTTATATGACTATATTAAAAAAACATAAATCTTAAAAGAATCACTTTTAAGTCCTAGATCTGCAAATTACTGTACTGCTGGCATCAAGCAATTTATTTAAATTTTCTGAGCCTCAGATCCTTATCTGTAATGCACATTAAATAATATCTGTTGTGATAGATAGATAAATAAATAAGACAAGGAATATAGAAATATCCAGAACAATAACAGGTAGAGTATAGATGCTCCATTTATGGAGGCACAAGGCAAAGCTTATAGGCAAACTCATTTCCCAACATATTAAATTAAGTAATGTTAAATAAACACTTCATATTCTTTAGCTATCTTATAGAAACATTTTGTGAATATTTAACAGCTATCTCCACACTTCAAAGGAATACTTGAGAGACATGGATATTGTAGATATGTGAAATATACATCAATTTCCAACCCCTTTGCTTTGTAAGATGCCAAAAAATTGGATTTACACAGCGCTTGAAGCAAAGCAAACTATCCATGCTACTTTAATTGAATTAATTTTCAATGAAATTGAGAACTTTGCAATACTTGACAAAGTTCTACACAAAGGAAAGGTAATACGAGCAAGCAAATATTTACAAGATATGTAGTAAAGCTTAAAACAAGCACATTTTTGTTAGTATTGCCCACCATTCAAAAACAATCCAACTTACAAAACTTCAAATGTACAAAGCATCTAAAACTGGCATCACAAAAAGATTTCCAGAGTCCTCAATGAATTTCTTCAAATACTGGTCTTCTCAAACAGCTTTTAAATCATCTGATTCTAAAAATCTTCCTTGCACACGAATCTTCATGAATATAGCTATTTCCCAAATGAAGAACACTCAAAATTAGGACAAGATCCTTCCTGCTTTGATGCCCATTATCAAAGTGAGCAGGGGCTGAGTTTAAATCACCAAGCCTCTGCTCCAACAGTCTTGTTCCCTCTCATCCTCACCACTGCTGTGGTACCCTGTCTGGGAGAAGACATAGGGCTCTGTAAATAGTTGAGTTCAGCAATCTTCTAAAATGCTGATGCAGCTCCCTTGGCTAAGTGAATGCAATATTTCTGTGACAACCTTACATAATGCAAGGAGCAGCTCTCTTAGGTCAGCAGAGGTTATAGTGGTTCCCTGTCAATGGGGAGAGATTACTCCAAGTTTCATTTGTAGCCTAGAAGAATTTCTCCCCTCTTTTTGTTTGGATAAACTTCACACCTAGCACAAAGTGCTGAAAGACACCCTTGAAATCTATCTTCTCTCACAATTCTTCCGTGCCTGGGACTATACCCCACACATGGGCTTGATGGCTATTACTAGTATAATGTGGATAGCCATTCAAGTACACTTGACTGTTTTGATATTGTTGTCCATGGGACTAAATTCAGCCATAGGTTGTTATTATTAAATAACAAAGATATAGCCAGCTCTCTTTTTTATTTATGAGGCAACTTAACATACTTTATATCATGTGTTCTTTCCAGAAACTATATAACATAGGGATTGTCACCTTCATGATACAGATAGGGAAATGTTTCTGAACATGGGCCTCTTTGTCGATGCTCCTCCCCAGGTGCTGCATCCAGATATGAGTTCATGCTTTTGATGAGGTATGAATAGAGCGATGCTGGGCCATGGGCCTTCAGTCAGAGTACCTGTGGGCCCCAGCACTCCTGTGGCAGCCACTGCAGCCCAGCAAAGGTTCCTCTTTTTCACACAATGCAAGTACACAGGTCCGCTTAGAAGGGAGGAAGGCAACAATTGAGCTATCATAACTCTGAAAGCTCAGGGACTATTTAGACCTTCTATGTGAAAATGAGGTTGCAATTTAATTGTGAGAAGAAATTACATTTGTTAAGCACTTACCATGTGCCAGACACCATACTTTGTGTTTTTCATGTATTATCTCACTTAATTCTTGAAACAAACCAAAGTGGTAGTTGCTATTATTATCCCTATTTTTCAAATGTGGGAACACAAGGAAATTAAATTGCCTACCCAGTTGATGCCACAGCCTGAACTCCAAATCTCTCTGCTCTGCTGTTCCCACCATGGTCCAATCTGCCTTGTTTCCTTTCTAAAAATAAAATGTCCCCAGTGCTCCAGTCATGTATTAATGTGGCCTTAGACTTGGAAATCAGGAATATATTTTAGTTTTCAGAGGAAATTGAGAGCATCTACCCGTCCCCATTTGATAGTCATAAAAGAAACAGTCCATTTCAATGCTATTGCCTGGCATTTCATTTTTATCAGCTTGCATTTTCATAGCACAAAATATATGTAAGGTACACACAGATATTGAGAAAAGTTTGTTCTCTACTCAAAGGTATCAAACCCTATGTTTAGTTTGCAATTTGTTTTAACATCTGGAAGCTGGATGTGCCTCAATGTGCTAGAGATTTAAAGGTGAATGACAGTTCCTGCCAGTGAGAAGCTGCACTGAGAGGTGGTAAGCAGGAAACAACCAACTGCAATACAACTAGAGCAACATTAATAGCATGAACCAAGTATGGACCAAGAGCAGAGAAAAAGTAACATTTACTTTGTGAATGGCAGGGCTATGACTTCATCGAGGTGGTGATTTTTTAGTTGAACTTTAAAGGTTGTATAGGAGTTGATCACAGAAGCAAAGGGAAGAGACAGGCACCCCAGGCAGAGGCATGGCCAAAAACTGACTGGTGCACAGGAGCCACTGGATATGGTAGAGGGCGTGTGTTGTGTAATAAGATCACAAATGGTGAGGGGGAAAAATTGTAAAGAATCCTGAATTCCTGATGCTTTGTAATGAGATTTGCTTAATTTACATAGCATTTTCACCTTTTCACTTGATATTTAAATTAATCATGTTAAGTTATTATTTTCTCTTCTTTGCAGAAAGTCAGAGAGGTCAGGCCCAAGTCCTCAAAGTTGGAGCAAGAAACTTTTTAGTCTTTGGCCTTAAAATCCAATGCTGTTTCCAATACTTAAAAAAAGCAGACTGCCTTGAAGAAGTTAGAAAGTCCGGAGACAGTTTCCAGCTTCATCCGTGTCCCTACAAAGGACATGAACTCATCCTTTTTTATGGCTGCATAGTATTCCATGGCATATATATGCCACATTTTCTTTATCCAGTCTATCATTGATGGGCATTTAGGTTGGTTCCAAGTCTTTGCTATTGTGAACAGTGCTGCAATAAACATATCTGTGCATGTGTCTTTATCATAGAATGATTCATAATCCTTTGGGTATATACCCAGTAATGGGATTGTTGGGTCAAATGGTATGTCTGGTTCTATATCCTTGAGGAATCACCACACTGTCTTCCACAATGGTTGAACTAATTTGCATTCTCACCAACAGTGTAAAAGTGTTCCTATTTCTCCACACCCTCTCCAGCACCTGTCGTTTCCTGACTTTTTAATGATCACCATTCTACCTGGCGTGAGATGGTATCACATTGTGGTTTTGATTTGCATTTCTCTAATGACCAGTGATGATGAGCCTTTTCTATTTGTTGACACAGGAACAGAAAACCAAACACCTTGTGTTCTCACTCATAACTGGGAGTTGAACAATAAGAATACATGGACACAGGGAGGGGAACATCACACACTGGGGCCTGTCAGGGGGTTGGGGGCTAGAGGAGGGATAGCAGTAGGAAAAATACCTAATGTAGATGATGGGTCGACGGGGTGCGGCAAACCACCATGGCAGATGTATACCTATGTAACAAACCTGCACGTTCTGCACATGTATCCCAAAACTTAAAGTATAATTAAAAAATAAAAGAAAGAAAGCCCAAAGACAAATCCAGGGGAAGAGCTCTCTGAAATGTTCACATTTAATTTAATTCTGTGCTCTTAGTCTTTGGCAGTCTGCCGACAAGAAGAGCACAAGGTTAGCAGCCATACACTATGGCCACTTCTCTTAGCTTTTTCATGAATGTTGTCTCCATTCGTAGTGTCTTTCTCAAGGGTGGTAGAAGCTAGGAAATGAGGTTATGGAATTGGATATATATGAGAAAAAGCCTGAAGTCAGTTTCGGGATTTCCTGCCTTTGCTCACTCATCCCCTTAATTTGCTCACTCAAAGGTTGCTCTAGCAAGGCTTATTCATACATTTTTTTTATTTACTTATATATCACCTCATTAGACAAAGATTTTGAAGCCATTCATATAACATACAAAAATAGTAAACTATTTGTTTCTAAATCATCACAACAAAAGAAAAAGAAATTGAATTAGAATGAGAGAGACAAGTCAAGAGAAAAACAGAATATTGTTAAGCAGGTGATGGGATCCCTACCATAACTGTTTTTAAATTTTCCCCTAAGTTTCCCAATAGACAAAGGAAAATCAGAAACTAATTAGTGACATATTCATGAGGAGAAAACATATGGGTTCCTCAGAAGCAGCAGTGAATAACACCAACAATGAAATTTGTGTATGCTTCAAATGCAATGGAGGGTTTCTCCAGCAGTTTACAATGTTATCCAACTGCATGTGGGCTCCTGTGTCTTAGGGTCCACCGGCCCATCTTTCTTCCTGCTCCCCTTTCCTTCCGTTGCTCAGAGTGCATGCAACCCTGGCATGCTCACACACACACACACTCTCTCTCTCTATCTTTGTCTCTCTCTCTCTCTCTCTGGGAGCTCCCTCATGCCCCAAAGGGCATTTCACATTGGATGCCTGCTTTTCTCCTGCTTGTCAGCAACATATTTTTCAAATTAGCACTTGGTAGCTTTGAGGGAAACCCAGACCTTTTGGGGAAGAGAGTGAGAGGCCAACTGAAAAAAAACAAGAGGTCTGCTTTTTTCTCAGCTTGTAATAAATTTGCAATACAAGCAAAGAAAAATAAACACCCAGATTCTGCAACTGATATAAAAGTTCCCTGGATTGATGTGTTACCAAAGCTTGGTCTTCCCCCAGACCCTCTGCTATTTACAAGCAGGAAGCTGTTTCTCATGTGGAAGAGGCATGGCATGGCAGCTTTGGTCCTCCTCCTCCCTGTCTTCATTACTGTGCTTCCCAGTGGGTAGACGAGAGGTGGATGGACAATAGATAAATAGAAGGCTTTTCTCAGGAGACCCAGGGATTCCACCCTGCCCAGGCAGCCACACTAGGTCCTGGTGAGAAATGTCTCTTCTGAAGCTGTGCTTTTAACTCAGTGAGACACCTCCCTGCTTCTGGCAGAGGAGAGGCTCAGGAGGCCCAGCTGATCTTCATTAACAAATGGGCAGATCTGTGCTCATGCCAAGACCTTCCTTGTGGCCTCTTTCCTGCCCCCTGTGAGGACTGTTCTGATCTTGACTAGGAACTAAAGATAGGCAAAGGCGAAAAAGGAAAATTTTCTCTAGGAAAAAGCTAGGACTAGATCAAGAGAAGTGACTTCTCCATTGTGATTAGGGAAGCTGCATTTAGGGACCATTTAGGGTCCAGTGCTGTAATGGAGAAACTCATGATTTTGTAGTTTAAAGGATAGGAAAATGTTCTACCTACTAAACCCTGGAAGTTGGCAACAGATCTGGGTTCCAAACTCTCCCAAATCTTTTAGCGCCAACATTTACTAGCTGGATTGTTTTAAGTCGATCCTTTGTTTTATCTGAGCCTCGGTTTCCTGCCATAAGAATGCTGACAAAGGAAGTCACCTCAGATCCCAGGGCTGTGGCGAGAATCAAGTAAGATTAAACATCAGGAACTACTTTGACAACAGTAAAATGCTAGACAAATATGAGCTGTTAATTTTATTAAGCAACAGCCTACAGGCCTGACCTCTGGTACCAGTTTTGCATGTGTCTTTGCCCTTGGTGCTTTCTTGGCTGGATTTATTACATTCTCCTATGAGCTGTCTTTCCCCCGACAGTTATTTAATTCCTTTCTCAATAACCAAGTTCCCTGAGTGGAGCCCCAGAAATCCATGGGGAGAATGAATCTATTCCTGTCTTTAAGGAACTTAGATGAGGCAAGGCGGAGAATAAATAACTAAAATGGCTGAAGGAAGACAAGGTATAATGGAAAGAATACAAATCCTGAAGTCAGAAAAGCTGTTTCCGATACCAGTGCTGGCTAAGTGATACAGGGTAAGTCTCTGGGCTTCTCTGAGTTTTAGCTTCATTTTCTGTAAAATGTGTCTGATAAAAATAATAATACCTGTTCATACACTTACAATGAACATGTGATAAGATAATGCCTACTCACAGCATTGTATAAATGTTATTTTTACTATTATCTGAAAGGAGCAGGTGCCTTAACAATAAAGATAGCTACAACTTACTAAATACTACTATGTGTCAGGTACTGTAGATGGCACTTTACTGGTGTTATTGCATCTACTCCTCACACTAGGAGAGGGCTATTATCTCCATTTTACAGATGAGAAAACTGAAGTTCAGGAAGGTTAGGAAAGTAAGTTGTGGAGAAAGTGCTAGATCCCAGGTCTGTCTGATTGCAAAGCTCACATTCTTTATTACCTATTTGATTTTTTTAAAAACGTGATATAGTAACAAATACAACTTCTCAGGATTAACTTACTAGAGTAAGTTACTTTCCACTCATAGTAGACTTTCAGTACATATTTTCTTATTTGGCTTCCCCCAGAAGCAGACCCGAAGACAAAGATGGGAATGTAAGTAGTTTATGTAGGAGCAATCCCAGGAAATTCCAATAGGGGAGCAGAGACATGAGACAGTCAATGAAGGGTTTCTTGCCAAGCCAGAAGTTTGATTCCACTGGAGAACTCTGGGGTCATTGTAGAGGAGTCACCTCAGATGTTTCCCCTTTGAGGGAGTGAATATGGTATTTATACACAAACTTCAGTCTGGCGTTAATTTTGTTTATTCTGAAGCAACTCAGGACACACACACACACACACACACACACACACACACACACACACACACACATATCCCACAGTGGGGAGGAAGGGTCTTTCAAGCAAGAAATGCAGATGCTGGAAACCATAGCATCACTGAGTACATAAATGAACCAAGATCAAGCGAATGAGCAAGTATGTGGTAGCGGTGAAGGGTTGGGTAAGGTGGGGATAAAGAAAAGACAGGGAAAGGTAAAGAGAGTTACCAAAGCACTGGCTTGAGGATTTAATAGGCTCCAATCTTTCTTATCATTTTATGTCATACATATTAAGAGACCTGAAGCAAACTAGATTATTGTTTCAATTTTTCATTTCCTACCCAATAACAGAATTATAAATCTATAATTCTTTGCCATGTAACTTTGTGGTGCCCTCCCTTTAAGTGGGCTATACTTCCTTACCCTTTAACTGGGTGCTTGACTATGTGACTTACTTTGATCTGTGGGAGGGCAGCAGACACAACACAAGCAAAGACTTGCAATAGGGTTGTTTACTGGGACTTGCACTCTTATATGTTATGCCAGAGTTAACCTGTTGGTTGCAAAAGACAGATGAGTTACACCAACCAAGCCCAATCTAGATGAGCTATACTCAGTCAGTTACAGACATATGAGTGAAGCCAGCCTAGATCAGCTGAGCTGACCCACAGGCACGTGAGCTTAAAAAAATGCTTTTTGTCATATAATGCCCAGACTTTTGTGGGTATTGAATGCTCTAAAGCCATAAGTAACTGCTGCAAAAACTGTACTTCTTTATTCTCTGATAGTACCAAATATTCATCCAAAAAATTAATTCATCAAACATTTTGTAAGCAGCTGCTTTGGGTCACCATTTGAAATTATTTATTTATTTGTCATGTATCATCCCATCGCTGAACTGTGACCTTCATGAAGTCAGGAACCTTTTCTGCGTTGTTCATTCCTACATTCCAAGGGCCAAGTACAGTGTGTGTCATATGGTGGGTGTTGAATAAATATATGTTCACTGAACAAATTAGTATCAGTTATTTTGATATCTACTGCAAATATTCAAAATGTCATCCTGATTACACTCAATTTATTGGAGGAGACAAATTGACAGAACTCTAATTAAGTTCTCTTATCATCATGTTATAGAAGCATAGAGAAATAAATAATTCTAAGTGGAGAAATATTGAAAGACTCTGCTGAAATAATGGCATTGGAGCCATTATTTGTTGACACAGAATGAAGACTGATGAAGGTGGGAAGAGAGAGCATTCCAATCAGAAAGGACATCCTGAATGAAAGTATGGAGGTGTGCAAGAATACCTAGAGCAGCTGAAGTATAACACATGCATATAGGGGAACAATGGGTAGAGTCCAACTCTGAGGAACCATAAATGACATGCTACCAAATTTGTACTTTGTCTTCTAGGAAATGAGGAACTAGGAAAGATCTTTAATCATAATATTAATACAACTTTACCTCTTTCACAAAGCTCTTTAGACAGCTGTGTGGGAGAAAAATTGGATTTACTACACATTCTAAATAAATTTGCCTTGCATTACTGTCCTTCCTTAAGCCTTCTTTGTCCTAGTGGATAATGAACACCATAAGCTCTAAGATCCAAGTTACATATGCTCCCTTAAGTCTCCTCCCTTTCTTTCCCCTGACCCCAAAACCCTGAGTTTTCTATACCTCCACCCAAATACCTAGTACACATGCTCCACCCCTGTGGCACATCTGATGTCTACTCAAAAAACAGGCATGTTGAGATTAGTCAGAAATACAACTTTGGCCATCAGCAGGAATGCACACACTTGGGAATTTTTCAGCACAGGTAAGATTAATAAATCTTAAAGGTAGATGAGACAACCCTCACTTGCAAAACAGTGGAGGGAAATGTTCATGTGTAGAAGGAATAGGAGGAGAAATCTCTCCCACTGGGCATCTGTCCTGACCTTAGACTCCCCTAGGGAGTTAATCTAAGGAGATTCAGCACATACCAAAGAATATAACTCCAGAAATCATAAATGCAAGGGCCAAATTAAAGTTACACATGGTAGAAAAGATCTGTTTTATATAATCAAAATCATTATCATCAATACTCTCTAAGTCATCTTTCAATATGATTATAAGCTGGGCAATATAATACTACATGTGGTCACTGACCTGCAGCTTAATAATCTAACTCTCTTTGACTTATGGGGTGTATCAGTGACCCATTGCATTTTAGTAGGCAAAGTGTTATGAGGTGAATACGACAGTATATGATGGAGATAGCCATTTTTTATGTACTCCATTGGTTCACAGAATCAGAGAACCAGGTGGTTGTACAGTATATGATCTCACTTCAACCTATATCATTGGTAGTCAGTAAAAGAATAATATCCATGGTATGTGGACCAGAATATGTTCACAACAGTGTGCCCATAGTTCTAGATGTAAGAATAGCTTTATCTGTACCCAAGAAGCCAATAAAGTCATTAGCCAATCCATGCATTCTGCCTATTCAAATACAAGTCTGGAGAGATATTCCCTTATGTGCACATGAATAAAAGAAAAATCCAATATAGAGCATGTGAAGTAAAATTGCAGCTAGAGGGAAGGATGGCATCATCCTTAGTAATCCAAGAAGACATGATACCTTTGAAAAATAACATATAAACCAAAAGATAATTTTATTATATTACAATAAATTTCCAAAGGAATTCAAGATGGCATGACTTCTATAAAACAAAAATAATAAGTGTAATAATAAATAAAAGACTAAAAAGAAAGGAGAGGTAAAAGGATAATAGGATAAGGTGCAAGACAGTTAACTGAGATTAAAACAGGAGCCAGGTAAGATTAGAAAGCAATAACAGAAACAATATCCCTGTTAGAAATAGAATTGGTATTGTGACAAATCAAGACACTCATATAGAGGGAAAACTGAAGTCTCTAAGAACTCAAAGGAGAAGTCAATAATTTTGAATTAATTAAGTAAATAATGAAAAAGAGAAAGAAAAGTACGATATAATTTAAGAATGAGATAATTTCAGAAATCTTGAGTAAGATAAAATAACCAAAGACATAACTGAAGAAAACTTCCCAGAGCTAAAAAAAAAAAATTACTTTTAAAAAAAAATTTGACCCAGAAAAATTAAGATAAACAAGCCCAAACCTAGATATCTGGAATTTTTGTTAATCATGTAGTTAAGGGAAGCATGGGGGTTGTTATCTTGAAAGAAACAAAATTCAGACTGGCTTCAAAATTTTACTCTGGAAAACCAAAATATCAGGACGTAATAAAGCATTCTGAATACTATGATTTGTAATATGAGTATTTTGAGCTAAAGGAAATCATTTTTTCATGTGATTTTGTGTTATATGTAATATTGGAAGAGCCTCCTAATTGGTCTCCTTTCCACCCATCTCTCTGCCTCCAGTGCATCTTCCATATCCTTTGCATTGATCCTGCTTCCCTGCTGAAAATCTTTTAGAGCTATGTAATTTTTTAAAGTATGATAAAATGTTAATGATAGAATCTATATGGTGAGTATACAGTTGTTCAATGTTAAAATTCTTTCAGTTTTACTGTGTGTTTTATTTTTATAATTTAAAAACTATTTCACATCATCCTCATTGTCGACTGGATAGAATCCAAATTCCTTGCATAGTATGCAAACCTCTTCAGAGTCTAGCCTCAACCTACCTCTCTGGTAGCACCTTCTGCCTATTATTCTTATCCCATCTCCCTGTTCTAGTCACCATGAACTCCTTGCTGTTCTTGAACTACCTCTGTTAGGAGGTCCTAAAAGGATAATTTTGATTGAGATAGTACTAAACTGAATTTGTCCTGTAGCAGCTGAGTTTGAGGACAGAAAAAATGTGAATACTCTGACATCTCATACAAGTTGTGTTTTACTGTAGTGTGCAGTACAGGCTATCTAGCTTATGAGGTACAGTGCAAAATGAAATATCAGAACCCCTTGTTCAAAAATTCTTAAGAATTTCAAGATGGCAACAGCAAAGCAATACACTAAGTGTGAGCCCCACCTTTTTTGTTTGGAGACAAAATCTCATTTTGACACCCAGACTGGAATGCAGTGGTACAATCATAGCTCACTGCAGCCTCAAACTCTTGGGCTCAAACGATCCTCCCACCTCAGCCTTTTGAGTAGCTGGGACTATAGGCATGCATCACCACATTTTTTTTTTGAGAGATGGGGTCTTGCTATGTTGCCCCAGCTGATCTTGAGCTCTTGGGCACGAGTGATCCTCCTGCCTCAGCCTCCCAAAGTCCCAAAGTGCTGGGATTATAGGCATGAGCCACCACAACCAGCCCGTGGGCCCTTTTTGAATGTGGTTCCCTGTGTGATCACTCATGAAGCCAGTTATAACTACCTAAGGATATCAAGCTGACTGAGGCTTCCCAAGTATTTACCAGTTTCCTTGAGTGGCAGTAGTGGGTATCTGCTTGTCTGTGGTGATGCACTGACAAGGAATGGGAGCACTCAAGTGGAAGATGACCAAGTCTCTTCTGTCTTCCTACCATGTCTTTTGCAAGCCGTATCTCAATTGAATGTCAAGGTCCTGCATACAGTTTCCTATCCTGCTAGCAGAGTCATGGTGTTATATTATCCATAGGTTATATTATGGCACTTGTATTGCAAAGAGGTAATGATGACTGGTTCATGATCAGACCCAATCTCTTATCTCCCACTTGAAAAGACTTAGAATGAACTGAGCACAGCATTCTAAGAGAATAAGACAATTTTGTGCTAGTCAGTCTTCTCATTCAACAATATAGAACAAGCTGTGTCACTCTAGTTATCAAAATATTCTTTGTATTACTCTGTATAATTTTTAAATTTCTTCATGCTTTAAAAATATACTGTTTTTATTGTCACAATTATAAGTTAGGTGTTTTTCTCTATCACATCACCTAAAAATTTTTTTGTTCTACTTACTACATAAAATCTATTAATGTTTATATATTTACCTCATATGTGGTGATTTCACTAAACTCATTCATTCTAAGAGTTCTATGGTTGATATTTCCAGGCTTTCTATGAATATAAATGCATGAAAATCATCATGTCTTTGTCTCTTCCTTCACAATAGTTATGTTTCTTATTTCTGTTTGATGTCCTATTGTGTGGTCCAGAACTTTCAGAAAAAAAGTTACGTAAAAATATCTCATTCCTGATCTTGGTGGCAATAAGCCTAATATTTCACTATTAACTATTAAGTATCATCATGATTATTTTTAAATAGTTCATTTTCAGCACATTGCAAAAATCCTACTCTTAGTTTGTTTTTCAAAATCTGAAATAGCATATTATTAAACACCTTTTTACCACCTACTAACATTGTGTAGCTCTTGTTGTTTTGCCTAGAGTTGTGATGTACTATGTTAATCAATTTGTTTTTATTGTGGAATAAAGGAACTATCTTTATATTCCTAGAATAAATCACTGTTAGTAATTAGGGGTGATTCTTTTGACATATAACTGTATTCAGTTTGCTATAATTTTATTTAAGATATCTGTATCAAATACATAGTAAGAATGTCTATAGTTTTCTTTCTTATAAGATTAGTATTATGTCACTCCAAAAATCTATTTATATTGTGCATTGAACATACATGGAGAAATAAATATAAGAATTCCCATCCCCACAATGTTTACTTCTCTAATGGAAGCACTAATCACTATAAGTTCCCCCAAAAAATAGAATATTGCTTTAAATTTATGGTTTTTAGCAGAATGGGAGAATTCCAGAGACTTCCATTTGGCCTTTTCTACCATATCATTCCTTTATCTAATACTCACAGAGCCAAGATAAGAATTTTTCTAGTTTCTGAGGTTGTATATTCCTTCTGTACAGTCAGGGAATAGAAAAACAACTATAGAATGGGAATAGAATCAGGGTCCGACACAGCTCATGTGAGGCACACTCAAAGCAGAACTCTATTTATCACCTGAACCTAGTAAATTCCCACTCTGACTGGTTGAATGTAGTAGTATTCTGGGCTCCCAAGAATTAATGTGGGCTCATAGTCCCTGTCTAAGAATCCTGGAAGAATCTGGATATTTTTCATACTCCAGTGTATACTTACTTTGTGTGATGGTTAATACTGAGTGTCAACTTGATTGGATTGAATGATCCAAAGTATTGATCCTAGGTGTGTCTGTGAGGGTGTTGTCAAGGGAGATTAGCATTTGAGTCAGTGGGCTGGGAAAGGCAGACTCACCCTTAATCTGGATGGACACCATCTAATTAGTTGCCAGTGTGGCCAGAATATAAAACAGGCAGAAATACATGAAAAGGCTAGACTGGCTTAGCCTCCCAGCCTGCATCCTCTCCTGTGCTGGATGCTTCCTGCCCACAAACATCAGACTCCAAGTTCTTCAGCTTTGGGACTCAGACAGGCTTCCTTGCTCCTCAGCTTGCAGATGGCCTATTCCAGGACCTGTGATCATGTGAGTTAATACTACTTAATGAACACACACACACACACACACACACACACACACACACACACACATATATATTCTATTATTTCTGTTTCTCCAGAGAACCCCTGAACTAATACAGATTTTCATACCAGGATTGGCTCTAGAGGAACAGAATATTAAGGAATATTAAGTTCTTCCATTGGTTTGGGGGTTCCTGGAGCTGGCTACTTAATATGATTAGACCTAAAAATGCTAAGGACTCTGCTTCTAGTAGTATGGAGGACAGGTAATTAATGGAGTTTTCACTCAGGTCCAACTTACAGTGGGTCCAGTGGGTCCCTGGATTCATCCTGTGGTCATTTCCCCTGTGCCAGAATGCATAATTGGCAGAGACATACTTAGCAGCTGGCAGAACCCCAACATTGGCTCCCTACCTGGTAGGGTGAGGTCTATTATGGTGGGAGAGGTCAAGTGGAAGCCATTAGATCTGCACTCTACCTAGAAAAATAGTAAATCAAGAACAATATTGCATCCCTGGAAGGATGGTTATTAGTGCCACCATCAAAGACTTGAAAAATGCATGGGTGGTGATTCCCACCACATCCCCATTCAACTCTCCCATTTGGCCTGTGCAGAAGACAGATGGATCCTGGAGAATAAGAGTGGATTATCACAAGCTTAACCAAGTGGTGACTCCAACTGGAGCTGCTGTACCAGATATGGCTTCATCGCTTGAGCAAATAAACACATCTCCTCTTACCTGGTATGCAGCCATTGACTTGGCAAATGCCTTTTTCTCCATTCCTGTCCATAAGGCCCACCAGAAGCAATTTGCCTTCAGCTGGTAAGGCCAGCAATATACCTTTGCTGTCTTACCTCAGGGGTATATCAATTCTCTAGGTTTGTGTCACAATCTTATTCAGAGAGACTTTGATTGCTTTTCACTTCCACAAGACATCACACTGGTCCATTACAATGATGACACTATGCTGATTGGATCCAATGAGCAAGAAGTAGCAAACATAGTGGACTTATTGATGAGACATTTGTGTACCAGGGGATGGGAAACAAATCTGACTAAAATTCAGGGAACTTCTACCTTAGTAAAATTTCTGGGGATCCAGTGATGTGGGGGGCCTGTTGAGATATTCCAAGGTAAAGGATAAGTTTCTGCATTTGGCCCCTCCCACAACCAAAAAAGAGGAACAATGCCTAGTGGGCCTATTTGGATTCTGGAGGCAACACATTCCTCATTTGGGTGTGTTACTCTGGCCCATTTATCGAGTGACCCAAAAGGCTGCCAGTTTTGAGTGGGTTCAGAACAGGAGAAGGCTCTGCAACAGGTCCAGTCTGCTGTGCAAGCTGCTCTGCCACTTGGGCCAAATGACCCAGCAGATCCAATGGTGCTTGAGTGTCAGTGGCAGATAGGGATGCTGTTTGGAGTCTTTGGCAGGCCCCCATAGGTGAATCACAGCAAAGGCTTTTAGGATTTTGGAGCAAGACCCTGCCATCTTCTGCAGATATAACTACTCTCCTTTTGAGAGACAGCTCTTGGCCTATTACTGGGTTTTGACAGAAACTGAGCATTTGACTATGGGTCGTCAAGTCACCATGTGACCTGAACTGCCTATCATAAACTGGGTGCTTTCTGACTCATCTAGCCATAAAGTGGGTCATGCACAGCAGCATTCTATCAACAAATGGAAGTGGTATATATGTGATCGGGTTCGAACAGGCCCGGAAGGCACAAGTAAATTATATGAAAAAATGGCTCAAATGCCCATCCACTCCTGTGATCCTGTCTGCTCTCCCCCAGCCTGCACTGATGGTCTCATGGGGAGTTCCCTATGATCAGTTGACAGAGAAAGAGAAGACTAGGGCCTGGTTCATAGATGGTTCTGCATGGTATGCAGGTAGCACCAGAAAGTAGAGAGCTGCAGCACTACAGCCCCTTTCTAGGACATCCCTGAAAGACAGCGGCAGAGGGAAATCTTCCCAATGAGCAGAACTTCAAGCAGTTAACCTAGTTGTGCACTTTGCATGGAAGGAGAAATGGCCAGATGTGTGATTATATACTGATTCATGGGCTGTAGCTGATGGTTTGGCTGGATGGTCAGGGACTTGGAAGAAGCATGACTGGAAAACTAGTGACAAAGAAGTTTGGGGAAAAGGTATGTAGATGGACCTCCCTGAGTCAGCAAAAACTGTGAAGATATTTGTATCCTATGTGAGTGTTCACCAACAGGTGACCTCAGCAGAGAAAGATTTTATAAGCAAGCAGATAGAATGACCCATTCTGTGGACACCACTCAGCCTCTTTCCCCAGCCACCCCTGTCATCGCCCAATGGGCCCATGAACAAAGTAGCCATGGTGTCAAGGATGGAGGTTATGCATGGGCTCAGCAACATGGACTTCCACTCATCAAGACTGATCAGGCTACAGCTACCACCAAGTGTCCAATTTGCCAACAAGAGACCAACACTGAGACTTTGATATGGCACCATTTTTGGGGGTGATCAGCCAGCTACCTGTTGGCAGGTTGATTATATTGGACCTCTCATCATGGAAAGGGCAGAGGTTTGTCCTCACTGGAATAGACACTTACTCTGGATATGGGTTTGCCTATCCTGCATGCAATGCTTCTACCAAGACTACCATCCATGGACTCATGGAATGCTTATCCACCATCATGGTATTCCACATAGCATTGCCTCTGACCAAGGCACTCACTTTACAGCTAAAGAAGTGCAGCAGTGGGCTCATTCTCATTGAATTCACTGGTCTTACCATGTTCCTCATAATCCTGAAGCAGCTGGATTGATAGAATGGTAGAATGGCCTTTTGATGTCACAATTACAATGCCAACGAAGTGACAATACTTTGCAGGGCTGGGGCAAAGTTCTCCAGAAGGCCATATATGCTCTGAATCAGCATCCAGTATATGGTACTGTTTATCCCATAGCCAGGATTCACAGGTCCAGAAATCAAGGGGTGGAAGTGGAAGTGGCACCACTCTCCATCACCCCTAATGATCCACTTGCAAAACTTTTGCTTCCTGCTCCTGCAACATTATGTTCTGCTGGCCTAGAGGTCTTAGTTCCAGAGGGAGGAATACTGCCACCAGGAGGACGCAACAACAATTCCATTAAACTGGAAGTTAAGATTGCCACCTGGACACTTTGGGCTCCTCCTACCTTTAAGTCAACAGGCTAAGAAGGGAGTTACAGTGTTGGCTGGGGTTAGCTGGTGTGACTGACCTGGACCATCAAATTGAAATCAGTCTACTACTCCACAATGGAGGTAAGGAAGAGTATACATGGAATACAGGAAATCCATTAGGGTGTCTCTTAGCATTACCATGCCCTGTGATTAAGGTCAGTGGGAAACTACAACAGCCCAAGCCAGGCAGGACTACAAATGGCCCAGGCCCTTCAGGAATGAAGGTTTGGGTCACTCCACCAGGAAAAAAACATGACCAGCTGAGGTGCTTGTTGAAGGCAAAGCAAATACAGAATGGGTAGTAGAAGGTGGTAGTCATCAATACCAGCTATGACCACATGACCAGTTGTAGAAACGAGGACTGTAATTGTCATGAGTATTTCTTCCTTCTTTTGTTAAAAACATGTTTGTGCATGTATACACTTGTACGAAGAAAATATCTTCATTTTATTTCCTATTCTTTATCATGTGACATAAGATTTATTGACTTCATATCAGCATTTAAGTATTGTTAACTTTATGTAATAGTATTTGGGTTGAGATTGGTGCATTTCTGGTTGTATGGTTATTAAGCATAATTATGACCTTATTATTGTCTTTATTTGAAGATTATGTATGATCTCAGGAGATGGGTATGGGTTCAAGTTGACAAGGGGTGGACTTGTGATGGTTAATACTTAGTGTCAACTTTATTGGATTGAAGGATGCAAAGTATTGATCCTGGGTGTGTCTGTGAGGGTACTGCCAAAGGAGATTAACATTTGAGTCAGTGGGCTGGGAAAGGCAGATTCACCCTTAATCTGGGTGGGCACCATCTAATCAGCTGCCAGTGCAGACAGAATATAAAGCAGGCAGAAAAACATGAAAAGCCTAGACCGACTTAGCCTCCCAGCTTACATCTTTCTCCTGTGCTGGATGCTTTCTGCCCTCAAACATCAGATTCCAAGTTCTTCAGCCTTGGGACTTGGACTGGCTTCCTTGTTCCTCAGCTGGCAGATGGCCTATTGTGGGACCTTGCGATCATGTGAGTTAATACAACTTAATAAACTCCCCTTTATATATATAACCTATTAGTTCTGTCCCTCTAGAGAACCCTGACTAATACACACACTTTACAAGGTGTATTAGGGTTCTCTAGAGGGACATAACTAATAGGATAGATATGAATATATGAAGGGGAGTTTATTAGGAGAATTGACTTACATGATCACAAGGCGAAGTCCCACAATAGGCTTTCTGCAAGCTGAGGAGCCAGGAAGCCAGTCCGTGTCCCAAAACTTCAAAAGTAGGGACACTGATAATACAGCCTTCAGTCTGTGGCCGAAAGCCAGAGAGCCCGTAGCAAACCACTGGTATAAGTCCAAGAGTCCAAAGGCTGGAGAACCTGGAGTCTGATGTTTGAGGGCAGGAAGCATTCAGCACAAGAGAAATATGGAAGTGAGAAGACTCACCCAATCTAGTCCTTCCACGTTCTTCTGCCTGCTTTTATTCTAGCTGCTCTGGCAGCTGATTAGATGGTGCCCATCCAGAATGAGGGTGGGTCTGCCTTTCCCAGTTCACTGACTCAAATGTTAATCTCCTTTGGCAACACACTCACAGACACACCCAGAAACAATACTTTGTATCCTTCAGTCCCATTAAGTTGACACTCAATATGTACCATCACAGTGTGGCAGGTCCCTTTGAATAAGATTAGGAGGAAGACTCCCAGTACATAGCTGTGATGTGACTGTGGGGTTATGCCATTCCAGGAATGCAGTCTCCTCTTTAATCAAAATATGTCATGACCTTACTCAGGTCTGGGGATTTGGTTACTGGACATGATCTTTTTAGTAGCTCATGTCAGGCCATAGTTCATCAGATTGCAGGGAATTTTCTTTTTTCAATCATACAAGTGAAGAACTTTAGTGTGCTGCCTTCCATTTTGGTCCTAGTGACTAACCAAAGATCCCTGCAGATTCTGATAATGGTGATAACCTCTGATCTTGCTCCCCTAGTTGTTAAATGTCATGAATGGGTGTCTTCACCTCCAAATCTTCCCATGCTGATTTCACCATCAGTAAATGCTGCTTTCTCCCATCAGTATCCCCTGTCTTACAGTCAGTAAAGAAAATTCTGTATCTAAGCTTCATTTAATAAGGAACAAGATTACAAAATAATATCCTGATTTCAGTCAACCAACCAAATAGAACTGTTCCATCTGCTAAATATGGCACACTGAATCCAGAATTTCTGATAAGCACACCCATTTCAAAGTATTCAGCCCTATCTAAAGTTCTGTTTTTCCTTCCCTGATTCAGCACCCAGGCAAGCATTCTCATACACATTCTTCAGAGTCTTGGCAACATAAATTGGCAAAGTCCTACAATCATTTTGGTGTTGAAGTCTTTTTCTTCTGGGTTGTCTTCTGAGATGTGCTGAATTCTTTTAGTTTGTTTAGAAATAAAGAAGGACAGGAGTACAAACTGGCTTTCCTTTAAAAAGTAATGCCCTCTGGTAAAGAAGTTACAGTATCATTTAGCAAGATATTACTAGCATTATTATGTAAGAGAGAATGGGCTATTTGGTTAACAAGGAAAGCTGGGGGATGGGATCTCCTTTCCAAGTCTTCCGGTGTCATTCTTTTCCATACCTTTCACATAATAAACCTGTTAAGTCTATGCATTCAGCTGACATTGCACCTCAGTAAACCACATTTTGTTTGAACTAGCAAAAGGAAAGACAACTCTTTGGCACAGATATTAACATTTCCTGGGTTTCTATTTATTTGTTGAGCCAAGACATTTGAACAAGTCTTTCTCTTTCTTTAAGTTACTCAGAGCTATTAGAAGCACCTACTCTCTCTGACCATTCTGGCATTCCTTCTCCTCTCCATGCCAGGCTATTTCATGGTGATGGCCCCTTGATTTCCTAAAGCCTCCACTGGGCACTTCATTCTACGCGACCACAAGTTATATAATAATTTGCTGTTTCATAAATGCATGCCAGGCACTGCCAGTTTCACTGACAATCTGGATTTTCACCACCCTCATTTCTAATTAGGGCAAATAAACAATTCCAGTTGCACATGTGCGCGCACGTGCACACACACACACACACACACACACACACACACACACACTTCCCTACCTTCTGAGAATCATTTGCATGTAATCCTCTCTTATGAAAATTTCTACACCAGTTAGGGTTCTTGGTTGAAAATAACAGAAATATTTCCAGGTGAAGGAAAGTGCATTCAAATCTATGGTACAGGAAAAACACTTAAAGAAACTGGTGGAATACTCGAGTGTATTTGAGAGGTATTATCAAATAGAACTGTCATAACAGACATTAACACTGGGAAACTTCATCAAAGAATGGTTTGATTAGTAAGACAGTGAATAGCTCACATAATAAATTACAAAGCTAGAAGACCAAGCCCATAAACCAAGGGAAACCAAATACGCCAGCCCACAGCTAGTGTGTCGTCATGGGCAGTACCATCATTGGGCCCGGGAGCCACTCCTACCACTTCAGAACATTTGCTCTGCTACTGTTTCTTTGCCTTACTCATTCAGATTCAAAACCCTGGGATGGCAGCTTGCACAAGGCCCAGTTTCTGTATCCAAGGAGAGCAATTATATGGCTATCTGAGAATATATTATGGGATGTGGGTCTTGCCTCCTATAAAAACTCACACAAATGTAGGAAAAGAGCTCAGAAGATGCATTACCTCCCTCACAATAAAAAATGCTTCCTACATGAAAAACTCCTTTATTTTCTACGTGAAATAATGTATGTATGTATCTGTTCTTTAAATTTTGAAATAATTCACTACTAAAGCCATATGGCTCCAGGGTACTTTATTAATAACTATGTATTAACACTACTTATTTTATCATGATTATTAGTATATTTTAAGTACTTGTATTTGGCATATTCAAGGGTGACTAATACACAGCTACTGCCCTCAAAGAACTTATAACCAATGCTATGATGATTGTACTTCTTCTTGTACTCAAACATTAAGCAGAATGCCTGACACTGAATAGGTGCTCAGAAAAGTTTTCTGAGAGAATAGTTTCCAAATGCAAATTTTTTTAAAAAAAGGTTCATGTAAAATACTGTTGTGTTTGTTTAGGTATTCTCCTGATTTAGTGAAGGCATTGTTAAGATTATCCTAAAGAAATCAAACCCACAATTAGATAACTGGATGGGGCATTACGGGTGATTCCATGCATAGAGAAAACCAGTAAATCTATGGATTATGGAGGGATTGGAGAAGCCAAGTGTAGGTACCAATATCTTCCTCAAAACTGGGTCATTCAAATGTAGCAGTGAGCCAAAAGTAGTGAAAGTTAGCGTGCATTATACACAAAAGTACAATAAAAATTGTTTTTAAAATTGCTGAACATTGTTAATGGTAACCCCAGAAGGAATACAGAAAACTGTAATAATCAAATTGAGCCAACCACCTAATTTCATGAATATACAGAGTGACTGCTAAAGACAAGGCCATCCACCATTTGTCAGAAACATATTGAGATTTGGAACCATCAAAAACTAAACCTTCCAACTCAGCCAATCCTTGAGATGAAAATTATAAGTATTCTGGTAATCATAAGAATCCCTTTAAAAGGGAGCATATGTTTACAGAAGATATCATTATGCCCTTGCTTTCTTAACCAAGGAGCCCCAACCCAACTCAGGCACCTGAATAAGGATGTGAGGCCAGGATTAGGCAGGAAGTGACCATTTCAGAAACCTCTGGCTAACTATGAGACATGGGAGTGTTTTCTTAAGGCTTTCTTTTATTGCTGCTTTTTTTTTTTTTTTTTTTTTTTTTTGCTAACTGGTCCAGAAGGAAAATTACAAGGTGGAATGAAAAAGGGATGAAAACTCCCAACAAAATGATGACATGTCAGTCCTTTTTAAAGATGCTTGGAAGAGTCTTTACAATGGCCCCTGTTGATTTTTAAGCATCATCCAAAATGTGAAAATCATTGCATTATTTTTCATCATGCCAGAAGGTATTTGCATTTTTATTTTTGTGTGGTTGGGACAGATGAATTCCTAGAAAGGAAGCTGGCACCATGCCAACTCTGAGCAGCTGATGTGGATGGGGATCCTGTATCTTCCAGGCAGAAAGGTGACTAGTAAATGTGTTGTGTTACTGTTTCCAAGTAACTTTTTTGACATACACCATTCCAGCACAACTCCATAAGGTAAGTAATTAAGATTCCAATTTAACAAAGAAAATTCAAGAAGAGTGAGTGACTGTCCAAACATCAGTTCTGTGTAACAAGATTTGGCTTCAACACTGATGCCTCAAGCAGATTTGGTTAATGTGATCACCCAGGCAGGTGTCACCTTCCCCCTCACTGCTCTTTTGAAGCTCCACCAAAAAACCTCTCAGCCAAAAGACCACATGTTAGTGATTTTTCTTAAAAGCTACAGCTTCCACAGAAACTCCAAACCAGCTTTGGCAGTCCCCTTGAGTGTAGGCAGGAATTGGGACTTTCCTCTAGCCCATAAAATACAGCAAAGGGGGTGGGATGTCATTCCTGTGATGAGGATACTGTACATAAGACTCCACCTTGTTAGTAGACTCAGTCTGGCTCTCCTGCTGGATTTGAAGAAGGAAGCTGTTATGTTGTGAACTGCCAAGGTAGAGGGCAACATGGTGGGGAACCACAGGTGAACTGTAGGACCTGCAGATGTCCTTCAGCCAATAGCCAGAGAGAAACTGAGGCCCCCAGCTCCCGTAGACCACCAAGAAATGAATTCTGCCCATAACCTGAATGAGCTTGGAAGTGTGTTCTTCTTCAGCCAAGCCTCCAGATGAGAATGCAGCCAGCTAGACACTGTGATTTCAGCCTTTGAGACCCTGAGCAGAGGACCCAACTCAGCCATGCTTAGACTGCTGACCTATAGAAACTACAAGATAATAAATGTGTGTTGTTTCAAGCCACTATGTTTAGATAACTAACGCAGGCAGAGCTAGACTTGAACCGAGATTATTCTATCACAGACGTTTCTTTCTTGAGTTGCACAAGTAAGAACCAAGCTATGCAGCTACAGCAAGCTTATAAAATGTAAACCAAACTGAGGCGGGGCTCAGCAGCCCCAGTGTCCCACTACTAAGTGGCTATCCCTTCACTAAGGAGCTATGCTCATTGACCACCTCTCCATAAGCATGAAAAACAAACAATGAACAGAATCGGATTCATCTGGGTCCTCCCTTCTTCCTAGAGATGTCCTGGCATTATGGGAAAAGCCATAAAAATCTATGTTCTGCCATTCCTGTGCTTATATGGGCTCATTTGAACAAGTCATATCAGTTCCCTCAGCCTTCATTATTCTTTTCTTTAAAACAGGGGGCATCAAACATACTTTGCAGGATTATAGAGGGATCTGGAGCTAAAATACATACCTGACACATATTAATAATTATATATGGAAACTGTTAGTATTATATTATCTATATTATTTTCCCCATATTACAGATGCAAAACAAAAATGACTTGTCCAAGAGCATGCAGCTATTATCTGCAAAGCTGGGAATGGAGCCCAGGTTCTCTGATTCCAACTGTAGAGCTTTTCCTATTACATTCCCCTTCCTAATTTTTGAAAAATGTTCAAAATACAATTTAATTTATGTAAATTTGAAAAATAAATATATTCCATTCAATTCTTTGAGGATAAGGTTTGCTGTGTAATGAAACAAAATATTTGAGCTGCCTCAAATCCTTTGTGGAAGAGGCCAGGATAGAAATGCATTTCCAAAAAAGATGGGAATCCCTGGTTTAAATAATTATGCCTAAAATAACCACTGCAATTAAGCAGCTCCTTAGCATCAAGTTTCTAAATTTTGGCAGAGGCAATTGACTTTTTCTTGAATTCTTTCATCCTAGTTACAAAACTGGATTAATTGAATCACTATGTCCAAGTTCCTTCTGCAACCCTGGGGAAGACTGCTACCATAAGCGTGAAACACATCTGTGACAGAGTATTAAGGCTTTATCCACAAATTACCAAGGGACCACCAATTCTCTAGAACTCGTGACAGTCAACACATTCTAATTTAACAAAGAAAAAAAGAAGTCTGCTGTTTTGAGATTAACACAACCACGGATGTATTCACCAAAATGAAGTTTGTCTGCAGAATTCAGTACCACGCTTTTTTTTTCTAGTTTGTCCAGCTCATAAACAGGTGAGGGGTTCTGATACCCCTATATTGCCTAAGGAAGTCAAGAAAAGCATCATATAGGGATTTGAACTAGACCTCCTTTCAGGTCCCATACAGCCCTGGGAACCCATGATTCGAATGTGTGTCTTGCTATTCTAGGATACAAACTACAAGTCTATGAGGGAAACCAGATTGAAAATAAGACTCATAGGTTCTATTTAAGTGCTGCTGCTTTGAATCACATAGCTAGAGAAGTTTGCTAAAGGCACTTATGCACCAGTTAAACTACAGGCACACAAGCATTTCTATTTACTGCCTTGCGAAGGAAAGGCAAGAAGGGGAGAGCTGCCAAACCAGGAAGAAATAGAGGTGATGTTCAAAGGCCAGCTAAAAGCACATTCAATGTTTAAAGCAATCTAGAAATGCGAAACCAGGCCATTAAATAATAAGAATTAGATGAAACGGCAACAAACATTAGATTAAGAAAAACACCCATAAATATCAATTAATATAGTACTTCGATTACCAAAAAACATTGCATTATTGGAATATATTCCCAGTAGAGAAATGGTACTGGAAATTATTAGATCTCCTATGCATGGGAAAGCATGCATAGAAATGGAGATAGAGAAAAAGAAAACGAGGAAAGATATGGAACAATTATGCTGCATCTGTTTCTTACACATCAGCGGGGGGCACTTTTCCCTAAATCAGTTGAACAGTCAGTGATGTGAAAGATGAGAGCTCATTAGGCAGCCTGCAGACAGCACCTGAAATGGTTTGTCAAACAGTCGTGCCTCTGAAAATCAACAATGAACCAGGAGGTGATGCTTCATTTATAGGGGGAAAGGCAAAAGCAATCAAGACCCAAAGACAGGGCAACTGGGCTCTATGTAGGCTCATTATGCTCAGCTCTGCCAAAAAAAAAATGACAAAGAAGCCGAATGCCAGGGTAGGAAACAAAAATTAAGGCAGCAACAGGGAAGGAAGGGACAAATATTTCTTGAATGCTTAGCAGTTGCCCCATACTGCATATCATCTCTTTTTCATTTACAGCAACCCGGTACAGTGGTATTGCTTCCACTCTTCAAGATAATGAAACAAAGAATAATTTGCTCAAAGTCACAGTGTACTAGATTCAAAAACATGTATGTCCAACTGCAAACAGAAGTCTCTTGAACACAGCAAAGCTGTTTTCCAGAAAGTACAAAATATTAAGGATAATGTCTATCAATGAAAGAGACTAAGAAAGAGTTTTAGGAGCTCAGTAGAGAAAATAGCTGCAGACCTGTGACTTAAGAGCTGATTACGGATTCAGCTTATACTTCTCACATGTCAGGAAATGGAGGATCCACAGTTCAAGCAGGAATAAAGAGGAGTGGGGGAGTAAGTCTTTGTGGACAGCATCTTTGTATGGCTTTCTTTCTCTACAATAGGGATTTTGCTGAGGTACTGGTCCAAACGTTCTTGGGTAGTTCCTACAAATGCTTACCAAGTCAAGTACCCCAGCTTACATGGAGAACACTGCATGTGTCCTTCCAGACCAGGAGCCATTTGTCAGACTGTGTGAATTATCTACTAGAGGAACTTAGGGTTCTCTATTGAACAGAAAAGGTTGAAAGTAAGAAATATTGCTTAAACAAGGTAAGTCTCGGATCTCCTTTTGACCTCAGTTTATAATTTAACATGCAGCCAGGAAAAAGGCTTTTATTCACAAATATTTAATGACCCTCTACTATGTGCTGAGCATTAGGTTTTATTTCACTCATCTACTTATTTTCAGTCTTAGAGAAATCCATAGAAACCCTCAGGTCATCTTACCCAACTATCATGTGAAAAGAAAGCCCACCCTTAAATTCAAGTCAACAAATATTTCCTAAGAAGTCAAGATACCATGGAACCAAGAAGCACAAAGCATGGCTCCTGTTCTCTAAAAGGTTTAAGATTATACAGCATGCAAATGTAAGTCCCCTTGCTCATTCATAAGAGAAGCTGGTATCAGCTCAGCTTCTGCCTTGCCTAGCATTTCCACTACCAGAACTTCCATCTGAAGTCAAGGTCTCCTTCAGTTTCCAGTATAACAAATGAAAAAGCAAAAACTAGTCTGGCTCATGGACTCTTCAGAATCCTTATTGGCTTCATGATCCTCCTTTACAAACCATAGCAGCAGGTCATGTCAAACCTTCTTCCAAGTACCAACGAACAGATGTAACAAAGGTTAGAGAGGTTAAAATCCCCTCCCCACCACACCACACCATAACAGCACATATTTTCCAGAATCCTCCCAGCATTATGATAGTCAAGTATGAAAAGCATGAGGCATATTTTCAGGAGGGACAAAAGGAACACAGAGAGCCCTTAGCTCTGCTGTAGAGATATCTGTTCTCAATTGTATCATCTCATGATCTTAGCTTCTTCTGAGGGTTCTTGGCATCTAGTAATGAATTGCACCATTACAAGAGCCCTGGAAAAGTCTAGACTAAACCAAAGAATATACTGAAGAATGCTACCAAAGTGGTATTATGATTGTGGAAGTATCACTTGAATCTACATGTCCTTCCCCAATATCCAGCATTACTAGATTAGACAGCACTACATTTACATACATTATTTTTTAATGCTGAAAAGAAAGAGATTTGGACAGTATGGTTACGAGTATTTCAAGGTTAATGAGAATGTAGGTCATTAGGTGGCCCATCCATAGACAAGAAAACAGAAGATGCTTGAGTGTTGCAGCAATAACTAACTGGAGAAGAACATGAAGAGAAACGCTGATCACTGCAGTTTTGTGCTCAGACCCCAACTAAACCCCCCGTACACTTTGCTCCAGTTCCCATTCAGGACCCACCTTAGTAATCCTCCCTCAACAACCAGCCCTGCCCAGCTGTCGGCTCAAAGTCCTCCACCTGCCCAGACTGTAACCAGTGGAGCAATTCAGCAACTTCAACTCTAAGGTCTAGAAACAGGGCCCGTTTCTTCAAGAGGGGCCTAGACATCCATGTGAATTCCATATCTTAACCTACCTAACTGAAGGACCTTGGGTTATTTAACCTCTCTATTCCTCAGTTCCTGCATCTTTAAAATGAGAATTGATCCCTATTGGGGGAACCCGCCCCCAATATTTCAATGTAGGTTATTTCTATTTTCCATAAGTGTCAGCCAGCTGAGAAATAAAAAGAAAGAGTACAAAGAGAGGAATTTTATAGCTGGGCCGCCAGGGGTGACATCACATATGAGTAGGACCATAATGCCCTCCTGAGTCTCAGACCAGCAAGTTTTTATTAAGGGTTTCAAAAGGAGAGAGGGTGTAAGAACAAGGAGTAGGTACAAAGATCACATGCTTCAAAGGGCAAAGAGCAGAACTACTAATAAGGGTCTAACAAAGATCACATGCTTCTGAGGGAACAGGACAAAGGGAAAAAGCAGAACCACTGATAAGGGTCCAACAAAGATCACAGGGCAAAGGGCAAAAACAGAACCACTGATAAGGGTCTATGTGCAGTGGTGAATGTATTTTCTTGATAAACATCTTAAACAACAGAAAACAGGGTTTGAGAGCAGAGAACTGGTCTGACCACAAATTTACCAGGGCAGAGTTTCCCAACCCTAGTAAGCCTGAGGGTACTGCAGGAGACCAGGGCGTATCTCAGTCCTTATCTCAACCACATAAGACAGACATTCCCAGAATGGCCGTTTATAGACCTACCCCCAGGGATGCATTCCTTTCCCAGTGTATTAATATTAATATTCCTTGCTAGGAAAAGAATTTAGCGATATCTCTCCTACTTGCACATCCATTTATAGGCTCTCTGCAAGAATAAAAATATGGCTCTTTTTGCCCAATCCCACAGGCAGTCACACCTTATGGTTGTCTTTTCCCTTCTTCCCTAAAAATTGCTGTTGTTCTGTTCTTTTTCAAGGTGCACTGATTTCATATTGTTCAAACACACGTTTTACAATCAATTTGTACAGTTAACACAATTATCACAGTGGTCCTGATGTGACATACATCCTCAGCTTACGAAGATAACAGGATTAAGAATTAAAGACAGGCATAAGAAATTATGAAAGTATTATTTGGGAACCGATAAATGTCCATTAAATCTTCACAATTTATGTTCCTCTGCCGTGGCTCCAGCCGGTCCCTCCATTTGGGGTCCCTGACTTCCCGCAACAGATCCCTAGAAGGATTAAATTTGCTAATATATACTAAATGTTTAGAACAAAATTCAGCCCATTTATGAGAAACTTTGTAAGTGCTTGTCATTATAATTATTATTATTATAATTATTTTCCTTCCCACCACCACCATCACTTGTCATAGGCTATATGAGCGGTTTCTGGCTTGATTTCTCTCCTGAGCCTAGATCCTTGCCCAAAATCTCAGCCACCTAACTATGTCCTAGACATGACAAGGCTCTCACTAGCTCCCTTTCCCAGTAAGGTGCAACTTTTCTCTTTATTTGCAACACAGAGTTCTGCCATGAACCAAAATATGCTCTGATATCAAGAATCACACCTGACTGGACCTACTCACCTTCTCAGCTCTCTAGTTTTGGTATATGTAGCTAAAACAAACCCAGTAAGGTCTGGAACCTAGAGGGACCCAGAGGAGAGGCAAGTGACTGAAGGTAACAGGTCCCAGGGCTCTGATCAAGCTGAGTAGTATTTTTTATGGGATATAGGCCTTGGGAAAATACTGAATATATGTATATATGTATTTTTTTCCTAGTATTTATTTTACTTCCCTGGATATATATAATTTTTATTATACATAAAATAATTATTATTATAATGACAAGCACTTACAAAGTTTCTTACAAATGCGCTGAATGCTGTTCTAAACATTTAGCATCTACTAACATATATATATATCTCTCCAGAGAAAGAGTCTGGGTCACATCAATGAGGAAAATCCAGAGAAGCAGTCTCAGGTCTTTGCTACAAGTTTAAGCTAAAGCAATAAGCAAGCAAATAACCAAGAAGTCAGAAACCAACAATATTGGACACAGGTCAAGAAACAAAGTATGAAATGGCCTAAAGCAAGTAGTTCAAGCCAAAGACATGAATGGCATGCCCACAAGGACAGAGATTTTATTTCATTTGTTCCCTTGTATAACCCCATACTAAAAGGTCCTCCAATATTCATGGAATGAACAAATGAATGAATCATCAGATTGTAGAGTTCCTCTTGATATGGTGCTACCTGAATGGTACAGGAAAACCGAGAAGAGGATAAGCCTCAAAATGCTAAGGATTTGAAGAACTAGACACAGATTTTCTAGGGATCAAGCCTGAATATACCTCCAGCCTGGACACTGAACAGCTGGCTTGCTTCTCTGGTCTTCATGGTCTGGGTCCTCTCCTCTGCTATTTGAGCAGAGGAGACTTCCCTCTGTCATTGCACTGATTACACTGCACTGTAATCTTCTACTTCTCTGTCTTCTGGACTGAATGGGACACAGGACCTGGCACATAATAATAATTCAGGAATGTTGTTAAATGACCCTTCCCTAAGGATTCTCCCATAGAGGTGAATAGGCAAAGAACAAGAGAATAATTCAATTTGGTGGTTTAAGTCTTATTTTTGCCTGGACACCAGGGCACTAATTTAGCAAGAGGCAATAAGATAAATTCAGAACTAACTAGAAAATAACCAAAAGAGTTTGACTCTGTATCTCTAGATTGACAAGGATGGCAAGGGAACTTAAAACTGAATTTAAACATTAAAAATAATAACAACAATAATAATAATGGCTGACATGAAGGGTGAATGTAGGGTTATTAGTCGATGAGGTACTGAACCTGAATCAGCAGAGCCACGTGATCGCCACAGAAAATGATGCAGCCCTCAGTTTCAATGTTAGACTAGCACCCAGAACAATGGGGAAACAGCCCTGCTCATCTGTGCACTAGCCAGGCCACATCCTGAGGGCTACCTGCCCTCAGCTCGAGATTCCACACTCTGAGAATGAAAAAAAACAGACATATTCAGTTGAGCATACCGGTAAGGTAAGCAAACTCAAACCTATAACAAAATTAGACCTGTCAAAAACAAAACAAAATAAAACAAAACAAACAAAAAAGCTGTTTGGCCTGGAGATGGTCTGCAGAGGCATAAGAGCTATAGTCAATAGCAAAAGGCCTATTAGACTAGAAACTGAGGCTCAAGGAAGTTAAGTTACTTGATCAAAATCACACCATGACTTGGTGATATATACCTGGGAGTCAAACTCAGGTCTAATTCTAAAACCCAAATTAAGTATAAAATTATTATGCTTGAACTGGAAAGATCTTGATGTCTTAGAAAAACCTGTCTGGGTCTCAAGTCTCCATCTGCACAAGGGCAAAGTTACATAACTTCGAAGCACCAGTGGTGTTTTGAAGATCTCTGCATTGTATGTACATTTAGTGAAGGAAAGAAAACCTGAGTGTCCTTAGAAAATTGACCCCAAACTTTCTCACAGGATCAGGGTGCTGACAACTATATGTTGAAACAGTACCTTTAGCCATCCTAGTCTGAACTGTGTAATAATGGATGTTGGATCAGAGTCACATTTATCAAAGTCCCATCAGGACAATGGCTGGAACCCCTACATTCATTCAACAAATACATTTGAGTATCTGCTCAAGCCAAAGCCGCATGCCATGTACTGGGTGCATAGTGGTTAATAAAATGACATTCTAGTGAAGGAGGCATGCATTGATCAATAAACCACAAATAAGTTGTATGTAATTACAACCTGTGATAAATATAATGAAGGCAAATAACTAGATTTTATAAGAGAAAATAACAGGCAGGTGGGGTTTAGTAAACAATGCAAGCAGTACATAACCCACAGTGTTCTTCTCTCTGGGAAAAGCTGTTTTTTGTTTTGTTTTGTTTTGTTTTGTTTTTTTATTGAGATGAAGTCTTGCTCCATCTCCCAGGCTGGAGTGCAGTGGGTCAATCTCGGCTCACTATAAACTCCACTGCCTGGGTTCAAGTAATTTTCCTGCCTCAGCCTCCCAAGTAGCTGGGAATACAGGTGTGCGCCACCATGCATGGCTAATTTTTTTTTTATTATTATTTTCAGTAGAGACAGGGTTTTGCCATGTTGGCCAGGCTGGTCTCGAACTCCTGACCTCTGGTGATCCGCCTGCCTCGGCCTCCCAAAGTGCTGGGATTACAGGCGTGAGCCACCGCACCTGGCCAGAAAAGCTGTTTTAGAGCAAAGTTTCCACTAAAACCAAAATTGAGAACTTAGAGGCTGAGGCACACCTCCAGTGAGCCCTTCAGTCCTTCAGTAAAAAGGTGGGACAGAAAGAATGATGTGCCTCAATAAAGAGGAGGCACTATCTGAGTATGTGTTACCATAGCAGAATAAGAAATACAAGAGGAGCTGTCTTATGTTGAGCTCCAGAAAGGAAAAAGGAAGAGGAAAGCAGGCAGAAAGGGGCACTGCATATGAGCAGTAGTTACCTTTAACACAGGACACAACCCATTAGTGGCAGTAGCAGTAGAAATGACAACTTATGTCCACACAATGACTTGTACATGGAAGTTCATAGCAAGTTTATTCATAATATCCCAAAATGGGAAAAACCAAAATGTTCAACAGGTGAATGAATAATTATGGTATATTTGTGAAATGGAATAGTCATCAGCAATAAGCAGGAATGCATTACTAATACTCTCGATGGTATTGGTGAATCTCACAGATGTGCAAAGTGAAAGACCCAGACATGAAAAGACACATATCATATGATTCCATTTATATGAAATGCTAGCAAGACAAAACTAATCTGTAGAGATAGTAAATCAGCATTGGTCCGGAATGGGGGAGTAGGTACCAGAGGCAGGGGGAAGAGAATGAAAAGAAAGACACATTGAGAGAATGTTCTAAGGAAATGGGAATCTTCTATAACTCTATTGGAGTGAGAGTTACATGGGTTCACAACCTGTACATTAGCATGCATAAATGTTGATGTATGCAAATCATACCTCAATAAAACTGGTTTTAAAATCTCCTCATTCTTGCAATTTTGTCCAATATTCTTTCAGAAGCTGAGACAAGTTTCTTAGAAGGAAGGAGGTCAACACCATGACAGTGCTGTACCCCAAATCACCTCACTATCCTGGTATTTAATTAATGTCTGGTGAATGTCAGCCCTTCCTGGCATCCAGTCCACTGCCTGAGAATTGAGGACATCATGTTCTCCCCTGACAAGGAGCAGCCAGCCCCAGCACGTCTACCACTTCTTTCAGAAGGCCTGACAGGCACTTACTCGTGCAGACCCACGCTGCCAGACTAGTGCATCCCTGGTGGTCATTCAAAGTAGGACCTCTTTGGGGAATGTGTATTTATTATAAAGCCAAGACTTCTACCCTATGAAACTCATTATTATTTTGTTGTTGTTGTTACTTAGCAAATGTTGTTGAGGACATAGTTCACTACTTTATCCTGTCTCTGGTAAAAAGAAACGTAAGAGAAATTCTTCTCTGGTCTTAGTCCCAGGATTAAGTATGCTAAACTGTTTTTCACTTATGGATACTATTATTGTTTTTGCCTTAACTGCTCAGAAATTAAATGTGTACCCCATCTCTAGGAAATGTGCACACATTTTATTCATTAACCTTATCCAAGTTTTGAACTTATTTCTCTGTTATTATTTTCTTTTTGTCCTCATTTCCTCAATTGCTTTTTTAAATACAGATTTTATTTTTTTAGAGTACTTTTAGGTTCACAGCAAATTTGAGCAGAAAGTACAGTTCCCATATTCTCCTCTTCCCTGCCCCCAGCCACACTGTCTCTCCCGCTATTAATATCACACACCAGAATGATATTATACATTTGTCACATTCCATGAACCTACATTGATACATCCTTTTCATCCCAAATCCATCATTTACATTAGGGTTGACTCTTGGTGTTATATGCTCTATGGGTTTTGATATGTGTATAATCACTTGTATCTACCATTATAGTATCATACAGAGTAGCTCACTGACCAAAAAATCATCTGTGCTCTGCCCATTCATTCCTCCCATCTCCCAAATCTCTGGCAGCCACTGATCTTTTTACTGTCTCCGGAGTTTTGTCTGTTCCAGAATGTCATACAGTTGTAGTCACACAGTATGTAGCATTTTCAGATTGATCTTACACTTAGTAATATGCATTTAAGGTTCTTCTATGGTTTGATAGTTTATTTCTTTTTAACACTGAATAATATTCCACTGTCTGGATACACCAGTTTATTTATACATTCACTAACTGCTTGGTTGCTTTCAAGTTTTGACAATTATGAATAAAACTGTGTTAAATATCTGTGTACAGGTTATTATGTGAACATAAGTTTTTTTTTCAGTTTTTTAAAAATTTAATTTTTATTTTTAGTTCTGGGGTACATGCGCAGGATGTGCAGGTTTGTTACACAGGTAAGTTTTTAATTCCTTTTGGTAAATACCAAGAAGCACAACTGCTAGATTGTAGGGTAAATATATGTTTAATTTGTAAAAAAAACTGCAAAAATGTCTCCCAAAGTGGCTGATATGGTTTGGCTGTGTCCCTACTCAAAATCTCATCTTGAATTGTAATAATCCCCAAGTGTCAAGGGGATTATTACAACAGTATGGTGGTTTTCCCCATACTGTTCTTGTGATAGTGAGTGAGTTCTCATAAGATCTGGTAGTTTTATAAGGGGCTTCCCCCTTCACTTGGCTATTATTCTCTCATTCTGTCTCCTGCCACACTATGAAAAGGTGCCTTCTGCCATGATTGTAAGTTTCCTGAGGGCTCCTCAGCTATGCGGAACAGTGAGTCAAACCTCTTTTCTTGGCCAGGCGCAGTGGCTCACGCCTGTAATCCCAGCACTTTGGGAGGCTGAGGCAGGTAGATCATTTGAGGTCAGGAGTTCTAGACCAGCCTGACCAACATGGTGAAACCCCATCTCTACTAAAAATACAAAAAAATTAGCCGGGCGTGGTGGTGGCGCATCTGTAATCCCAGCTACTTGGGAGGCTGAGGCAAGAGAATTGCTTGAACCCAGGAGGCAGGGGTTGAAGTGAGCTGAGAGGGCGCCACTGCACTCCAGCCTGGGCAACAGAGCAAGACTCTGTCTCAAAAAAGAAAAAAAAATCCTCTTTTCTTTATAAATTACCTAGTCTCGAGTATGTCTTTATTAGCAACATGACAGCCCACTAATACAGTGGATGTATCATTTTGCACTCGCACCAGCAACTAATGAGAGTTCCTCTTGCTCCACCACTTCCCAGCATTTGGTGGTGTTAGTGGTTTGGATTTTAGTCACCCTAAAAAGTGTGTATCTCATTGTTTTAATTTTCAGTTCCCTAATGACACATAATGTGAGCATCTTTTCATGTGCTTATATGCTTATTCAACATTTGTGTATCTTCTTTGGTGTGATGTCTGTTCAGATCTTTTGCCCATTTTTGTAACTGGGTTGTTTATTTTCTTATTGTTGAATTTTAACAGTACTTTGTATATTTTGAATAACAGTCCTTTATCAGACACATCTCTTGCAAATATTTTCTCTCCGTCTGTGGGCGAGTGCCCTGTCATTCTCAATTACTTTTTAGAAAACTTTTTGTAGTGTATATTTTTAAAAGTCAGTCTGATCCTTTCTGAGACAAATTCATATATTGATAATTTTAAAATAGATTTTAAATATAAAATAGAATAGGGAAGGCTATGCCACAGGTGATTTCTCCTGCTTTGTTGTCTGTTTCACTTTGTTTTAGCTCATTTACTGACTGTCAAAGCTTGAACGAATTCCTTCCTCTTAGGGCCTCAACTTATTCTTCTGTAAAATGAGGTAGGTGGATCAGATCATGCCCAGGGTTCCTTAAAGCTTTCACAGGACACATGCCAACAGTCCAGCCAGTTGAGGGCTCAACCCCAGCTCATCTCGTGGCAACAGAGAGACCTACACCCTGAAAACTTTGAAAAATGGATTCAACGTACTGACATAGGGCATGATTCTCAGTGACTCTCTCTAATCTTCACTAACATCTGTCTGAGCAAAAAACTGGTATTATTTGATTAGCTTTTTGGAGGAATATCTGGGATAGAAATATCCCATGCTAAGCTGTTGGCTGACAATATGGAAAAACCGACATTATTGATTACAAATGAATGTAGGGGAGATTGGGAAAAACAAGGAATTGAAAATATTTTGCAAATCTAAACCTGAAAATGGTTAGGAAAAAAGTCAAATAACAATAAGCATTTAGAGTCCATAGAATCCTAGCACCTCCAGGTATTCTCATAGCCCTTAGCATCACTTAAATTGCAGTGAAGATTCCTTGGAAGCTCAAACTCATTTTCTGTGATTCCCAATCTTACCAGGTATTACTAGCCACACTTCGTTATTTTATTTTGTTGTTGCTGTTGTTGCTTTATGAAGAAACTGAGGCTTAGATACATGAAATAATCTAAGACTGCACAAGTGACAGAAAGAGTGAGGGACCAGATCTTCTAACTTCTGGCCCAGAGCTCTTTCCACCCCACACTCCTGCCCCATGATTGGTTCTATTTTAAACCTTTCTCAGGTAAATATCTCCCTTCTATGCCCATTTCCATTCTTACCCCTTCAATTCCAGCCACTGGCCAGTTTTATAGGGCTTTATGGACATATTTCAGATGACTCCAAGTCAGGAGAGATTTTTAATATCGCACATGTCAGGATGAAGAATTGAAAATAATCCTACAAGGTTGGAATGCAGAGCAGAAGCCAGTATGCTGAAATCCTACAGGCTTAATATAAAAACCTGAACAAGCTATTTGCCACTATATGCTGTGTGCTGTGTGCTGTGTTGTAGCTCCAGGTTTCCTGCTGAGAATGCCTTTCCACCACAGTCTACCTAACCAGGACCTGCAGTTAATCCTGCAAATCCTAGCTGAATTACCTCTCCTCCTGGAAACCTTACTTAGCACACCCAGGCAGAATCATCAAATCTTTCTTGTATCACCTAGAACACACTTCTATTGATGCACTGGCCTCAGATTACTATATAAAATTGTATGTGTCTATGTCTCCCTACTCTGTGAAAACCAAAAGTAGTCACAAGAATCTTGTGTGCATTATAAACTATTTCTTTACATGACTGAAAGTTCCTGGAGAGTAGGGTCTGGGTCCTATTCATGCCCATATCCCCAGGCAGCACCAGGACAAAGTACATAAACATCTGTGCCACACAGTATTCTAGTGAATGAGACAAAGTTTATATACTCTTGGTTCTTACGTTCTAGCAGAGAGAAGCAGATAATATGCATCAAGGTAAGAAAAAAGAACACTTGAGATTGCTGTACTAGGAAAAAAAAAACTAGATGACTTAAGGGACTAGCCTAGGGTTTGTTTGTTTTTTTTTTTTTTTTTTTCCTTTTCTTTTACATTAAAGTTCCAGGATACACGAGCAGAATGTGCAGGTAAGTGTGTGCCGTGGTGGTTTGCTGCACCTATCAACCCGTCACCTAGGTATTAAACCCCATATGCGTCAGTCATTTGTCCTGATGCTCTCCCTCCCCTCATCCCCTTCCCCAACAGGCCCTGGTGTGTGTTGTTTCCCTCCCTGTGTCCATGTGTTCTCATTGTTCAGCTCCTACATATGAGTGAGAACATGCAGTGTTTGGTTTTTCTGTTCCTGTATTAGTTTGCTGAGGATGATGGCTTCCAACTTCATCCATATTCCTGCAAAGGACATGATCTCATTCCCTTTTATGCCTGCATAGTATTTCATGGTGTATATGTACCACATTTTCTTTATCCAGTCTATCATTGATGGGCATTCAGGTTGGTTCCATGTCTTTACTATTGTGAATAGTAGCCAAGGGTTATTTTTAACCAGGGCAAGAAGAGCCTTTGGAAAAAGCAACCTTTGAACTCAGACTTGAATGATGCCTAGGAGCCAGCCATGGGGGGAATCTAGGGAACGACCATTCCAATCAGAAGGGCAGCAGTGCCAAATAAATCATGGAGACAGGAAGAAGCATGACACATTTGAGGGACAGCAATAAACTGCTTATTAGGTTTAGAGTCATTCCTCAATCTTCCATGAGGGTAGGGGTGAAGGATAGAAGAGTATGTGATTAATTTTTCTCGAATGCCTTCCAGATCCCTGGAACTTTACATATGTGATCTCATATAATCCTCACAGCCACAGAGCAGATTTACCCCATTTTACAGATGAGGCCCAGAGAGGAGGGGTGGCAGAAACCAGATCTGAAAGACTCTGCTTTTGTTCTTCCCACCTTGTCACTCTACACCAGTTGCCTCCTCATGCAGTAGAGGAAAGGAGAGAAGAGCACAACATACTCCAATGCTAGGTAAAAAGCCCCAAGTAGCACAGAAATGTGCAGCCTAACAGCTGTTGGTATTTTAGGACATGAAGGAACAGAACCCACCCATCTTTCCAGCTTCTGCCCATCTGTCAATGCCACAGCATACCATAGGCACCTAGCGAAGTCTTTGAAATACATTCTCTGAGCGATATGTTAAGTATCCAATTTGAAAAGAAAACTGGCTATGAAAGCTGAGCTGTGGATAATTCCCTAAGCTCTTTCCCCTTAATTATGGTGCACACAGACAGCCAGTGAAACAAAGACTTAGGCCTTCTGTTGATTCTCTGATGCCTCATCTGAAGTCTAGGTATTTATTTTAATTCAGGACTTGGTTCCTTTTAAAGAAAAATCAGAGTCCCTGAAGAGATTCTCCTGCTAAGATTTCAATCTCCATTTCCTCCGAAATGGATGTCAAAGACAAAATCCCCAGGATCCTTGTGACAGTCCACTTTGGGTTTCTAATTTTGACAAGGAAACCATAATCTGGTGGTTTAACCCCTGAGGATGAATGCAAGAAGGAATGAGAATCAAATGGATGAATCGATCAAATAGAAACAGAGGTCTGCACAAAACAACATTCATGGAAATAAAATCTCCTGAGGCTCTAAGCTAATAGAAGCAGCTGGTGAAGACCACCAAAGACAAGAGAATGAGAAAGGGCTTCCAGTGCGAGAAAGCAGAGTGGCTTCTCAGGGACAATGGAGCAGAAATTAGCATTCCAATGAACCAGCACAAAGGGACCCTGGCCAAGCCTGGGAAGGAGGCCCCTCTCCTCCTGGCCCCTTCTTAAGGTCCATTTGTATCCCTCTGCAGCCTTCCCACAAAATAAGTTGGTTTCCTACACGTTATCTTCTTGCGTATTTTTAATCGAAATATGTTTTCTGCTTCATTTAGCTAGAAATAGAGGGCTCCTCTGCTTGATATTTGGGCAGAATATGGCCCCAACATTGAAATACTCACTTGTTGTCAGAACTGTGCTGTCTCTCTTTCCCTTTCTTTTAATAAAAGTTTGGATTCCACTGAGTGTTCTTCCACTCTTAAGCTCCAAACATTTCAAACACCACAAAAGATATGACAAGATGAAAGGAAGTGTCCACAAATAGACAGCTAGACAACTAGTTAGCAGCTGTCTGCTTTTCTTCAGGGTTTGTCTTTTTTCAATTTTTTTTTTTCTGCAGGGGGGGAAGAAAGTTTATTTTTCATTCTTGAAGAAGCCTGACTACAGACTGACTCTCTCTCTCTCTCCCCTTCCCCAACCCCCTCTCTCCCTCTCTCTCTCTCTCTCCCTCCCTCTTTCCCTCTCCCTCTCTCTCTCTCTCTGTCTCTAACATTGGCCATTTTCCAAGCCTGTTGAGTGTTAGAAGGAGAAAAACACTTACCACGCCATGTGTAACCCTGACCTTTGGAACTCATTGTCCTTCTGGGGCACCGTGTGGAGGGCTGCAGCGGCTAAGTAGAATTGCTCATTCTCCATCTTTTATAGTCCAATGTTTGCAATATAATGAGGTTTTGATGTTCCATCAAGTAAGGGCATTTCTTTAACAAAAGGAACCTGAAACACAGGTTTTTATTTAAAAACCTGCCCAGGCTTTGGAGAGCTGATTTAAATCTATTTTAGATCTGGATCAACTAAGGTTTGATTTGAAGTTATTTCTCTTGTTCCCTAGCAGATCAGGAAAGAACATTATTCTTTAATTCTTGATTTTAATTGGAGCTGCTTCACAAATTTCTCACCTTTCCTCTCTCCAGGTGTTAAGCTCATGAGATGAAGATCCTGTAGCATAAAGACAAACCTTTAGAGTGCAGCTGAGAACACCTCTTTCCTACTAGTCCAGATCCCCCCTCAGATCTCAGGTTGATATCACTGGATGGCCCAAGAGGCAACAAGAGCTTCCCTGTGAGTTAATTTAGGGCTGGAAGTGTGTACCTCTGCTCACACTGGATCACCATTCCCCCCTGCCTTTTAAATACTGCCATGGGACCTTCTGATGTATCTGACCAAACCCTACCCATCTTGCCTATTTTACAAGCTGGGTATAAAATGAACATCACATGTAAAAGCACTTTGCAAACCAAGGGTGATGCAAACTATCACCCTCATGCTCATCACCTCCTCTTCCCCAAGGGTTCCCTTTCTCATGAGAGACAGTATCCTCCACCTGTCCAGAAATTAGATGGTGTCTAAGGATTTTCCTCTCTTAAGCATCACCACAACCCATCCATCTCTACCAACGTCAATTACCTCTCCTAAACACCTCACAAATGTATCCCTGTCCTCTCCCACAGCCTTGATGGTGCCCAGGTCAAGGCCCTCTTCCTCTCCTAACTGATGTTACAGCCTAAAAGTTCCATTTCTCTCTAAATCATCCTCTGCTGCAAGAAAGATTTTTTTAAATTACTGTTATCACCCCCTTTATTACCATCTCCAAGCAATTCCCACCTTCCTCGGCATAAAGTCCAGATATAGTCTAGGTTCTAGGGCCCCTCACAATCCAACCTCTGTCAATTTCCATGGCTTTTGTCCCATCACTCACCCCTCACCCCAACACCAGTCACACTGGCCTTTGCACTCCCAGCCTTCCATGATTTTCTTCAAGGCTAACCCTTTGCTAGGATGTCCTTTCCCTATTCCGGCCTGATCAACTTTTCAGTTCACTCCATGAAAATTTTCCCTGCCCTGATTTTGCTTAATGGTCCTGCCCCTGTTCTCTCACAACTGTAAAAACACCTCTATCACTGCAAACGGCAGTCAGCCACTTACTAAGCCTCATTTGTTGTTCCTCATTCCTGTGCATTCTGGCCAAAGAACAAATTATACATTTCTCTCCCCACAGCCTAACCCAGGACTAGGCATCACTAAATAATTGACAGGTGGATTAACTAATTAATTAAATACTTATCTATGAAATAGGTCAAAGTTTTCAGCAGTCCCGTAAGCTGTGGTAGAAAAAAAAGACCAAGAGGGCCTGTTTGTGAAAGATCGCTTAGGGCAGCTTATCCATCTAGAACTGACTGTATGTGGGACAAAGGATGGTATGTACGATGCCACAGATAAAGAAACATCCTGTGCGTACATGTGCACTTACAAGGCATAGCTTACTCAGTGACAGGGCTAACCCTTCCAAATCATAGAGAAGCAGCTTTTGGGTAGCAGAATGAGACTTGGACTAGAGTCCAAAGTCCTGGGTCCACTGACATGTACTCACTTTGCAACTCTGTGGAAGTTATATAACCTCTCTGATCCTCTTTCATGAAACAGAAAAACACTGCAGATCCTGCCTGTTTCACAAGCTGGATATGAGATTAACATCACATGTAAAAGCACTTTGCAAACCAAGGGTGAGGCTAATTATCATCCTTATTTGATTTAAGGTCAGCTTACCAAATATGCCTGAATTTTTTTAAAGTCTACCCTCTACAGATGCTCTCCTATTAAAATCTTGCATATATATTTACAAGCAAGTAGGACATAATATATAACAATAATTTGAAGTAGTAATTAGTGTGTTTTCCTTCATGTCTGCTGTCATGGAATTTCCTCACTGTTACTCCAAGGACATCCCCTCTTTGCCTAGACACCTAGATGTAAGACACCTACTGCTTGGAGGTAAACGACACACTGAAGAACCAGAAAACCACAAGGGACTATTCTTAAATATTGAGTTCAAAAGCCACTGGGCTAGGTGTAAAACAGAAAGATTGAGAGCAGATATTGAGAGGAGATTGTTTCTGCCACTAGACTAGATAAAAGTCTCCACCGGCCAAGAGAAAGGAAGAGGAAGAATCACATAGACAAAATGAGTGAGATGGAGAGACCACAGGCATGTGCCCCAGCAGGAGCCATTCATCATCATCATCAGCCTGGGAGCAGAAAGAAAACCTGGCCTCCCCATTGTTATCTACTAACAACTACCAATCAATAGAAACCAGTGCATCACCCATGAGATGTTCACCTCCTTTCCGCCTTTAGAGATTTCCTAACCTCTTATACAATCCACCCCATGTCAAAAATGCTTCATTCAATGGCCCAGGTCACTGGTAGGGATACACACACACACACACACACACACACACTCACATACACATACCTGCACACACACACACATGCACCCATGCACTGAGTAGAAAATAGGGCCCAGAAGACACAGGAGTGGTTATCCTCATGTTTGTGGAAGCGAGACTAGATGCAACCAGCAGAAGATCTCCCACCAAGATAACACTGGGACACACACACACACACAACCCTATCTCCTTCCCTTACATATTGTAAAGTGCCTCTCAGTCTTCATACAGAACATCAGAAATTGAACTGATAAATCAAGGATACATTTTTAAGGGGATAAAAAAGCTTGGCTTCTAAACAAATACAGTAGAATATTTACTATGAAGAATTGACTTAGAATAACATCAAGGTCTTACCTGAAGTAGCTTTTGTCATAAAACTTCTTCCTGAGTGCATTGCCCTTATGTATCAAAAGTGTTTGGTACATTTTGCTGAATACTGAGGAGCATTTATGAAGCCAGATGATCTTACGCACAGAATGGCTAAACATTAGCACTCATGAAGTTGGTGGGAGAAAGAAGGGTCACCTTGGATGTGTTACACAGGAAGCGCCAGAGCATTCATGCTTCTGTCCAACAAGAGATCTGCTTATAATTCATACTCTGATCTTTGTGGCAATAAGCAAGCAGGATTCAGTCCGCCCCCACCCCCCCACCCCCCACATCTCCTAGAGCACAGTGGCTGACCCAAGCCTGGAGCATGAAGATGAGGAAAAGGCAGAGGGGGTGGGCAGAATCCTGCAAATAAACAAATAGCCCAATTCCTAAGGGAGTAGTAGAGAAGTTACGGCAGGTTCGTGGCCGCGCAGGTTGGAGACAGGTATACTGCACGTGAGAACAGAAGCCAGCAGGATACACAGAGCTACTGCCCATGTGGAGGTTACTACAGATGATGAAGGAAGAGAAATAACTGCCTAGGCAGCTATAACACAGTGGGATAAGTGCTGGGATAGGGAAAGAAAGGCTTCCTGTAGTGCCTCCTATTACAGAAACACCCTGGAGGGGAACTTGACATAGCCAAGGGTTAAGGGCAGGAGCTAAGAAAGGTTATTGTCAGAAGTAACATTTTTTTAATTGAGAAATAATAATTCTATATATTTATGGGGTGCAATGGGGTGTTTTGATACATTTAAGAATGAGTAAGAGTTTTCTAGGTCAATAGGATGTGATGAGTGAACCAAGCAGTTGGCAGAGTTCTCATACTAGATATTCAAGAGAAAAAGCAAAGCCACAGATCTAGTTAATCTGGCTCTCAGAGCTTTGTAGGTTTGTGGATGTTGTTGTTTTTAATTACTGTCATCAATGAAGGTTTTCACATTAAAATTCTGATTTCTGATTTCTCTTGAAATACCCTCATGGTAACAACTGACTAGAACTGAGTAATGACTACCCCTTTAAATGGGGTCTGATTTACTCCAGTTGCTATCACTTTTTCTTGTGCCTTCCTATGGTCTGAATATATCCCCCCAAGTTCATATGTCAAAACTTAATGGCAATTAATTATTATTAATATGAGAATGGTAAGAGGTGAGGGCCTTTGGGGCCACCAAGTTATGAGGGCAGAGCCCTCATGAATGGGATTAGTGCCCTTATACAAGGAGCCTTAGGGAGCCCCGTTTCTCCTTCTACCATGTGAGGACACTGTTCATCTCTCCTGTCACATGAGTACACAGCAAAAAGTTTCCATCTATGAGGAGCAGACATGAAAGCAGCCGGCCCCTCGATCTTGAACTTCCCAGCCTCCAGAACTATGAGCAATAAACTCCTATTATTTATAAATTACCCAGTCTAAGGTACTTTGTTACAGAGTCCAGAATGGACTAAGACATGCCCCTAGCAGTGAGGCCTTGGTCAGCTCCACTTATCATTAAGCTTGTGCTATTGTCTTTCTAATAGTACAGCTCAAGGAAAAACAAAATGTTTCTTACGTTCATGTTTCTACCAAAAGTGGAAAAAGGTAGGATAGAGCAAGAAAACCATGTTTCACCCACTCTTTTCCCTCACAGTATGGCCGTCCCAGCCCCTATATACCTGAGTGCTGAGTCCTGGCCTAGACCTACATGAGGATAGGAACCACATCTTGTTCGCCTCTACAAATGGCACTTGGTAGAGAAGAAATGAATGCTTTTTGAGTGAATTTTTTTTTTAATGTACAATGTCTACAATCCAAGAAGAACACATTTTATTCAGAGAACTGGAGGGAAAATTAGGATGAATGTAAAGGAATAAGGGGAAACCTAGCATGAGGGTGAAGAGGAGGACAGAGGCCATATCAGGAAAGCCTGGTCAGGCTTTCTAGAGTGGAGACTTTAAGAGCATTGGGAACGTTTTGAAAGGTTTTAAGCAGAGGGAGTGGACTTCCCTAGATTTACATTTAGAAAGAGCTCTCAGCAGCATTGTAAAAGCTGCGTTGGAGGAGCTTTCATTTTGTTCATATTAGAGGCTGGTCTAGGAAGGCATCACAGTGGTCCCGGTGACCACCGGCAAAGGCCTGAACTGGACAGGGATGGAGGCAATGGTGGATAAAGAGTTTTAAGGCATCAGAATCCCCATCAGAAGCTGACCATTTGAGAGTAGAGAAAGGAGAGTACAGGTCAGACTTAGGCCTGGTGGGTGGGGCCATCCATGTCTAGAAAGGAACAAGGCTCCCATGAATGCACTGAAGTGAGATGAGGCCACCTTCCCTAGTCACCTTTTTCTGTTCCATAATCCCTTGCCTTTCTGGAATTTTAACTACTATTTCAGCTAGAGTTTGATAGACAAAAGACTGGGTGCCCAGTTCATTTGAATTTCAGATCAACAAAATTTTCTTTAATATAAGTATGCCTCAGAAAACATTTGGGCATCCTATATTTTTATTTGCTAAATCTGGCAACCCTGGTTTCAGCCCTATTCCTTCCACCAGGGCTTGCCATCGTAACCCACCCTCATCTCCCAGAGTGATGGATTTGGGGAGGCATTTTCTTACCACAGGGTAGAAATCTCCAAACGCTGCTCTAGAGCAACTTTACATACGGAAATTGATGGAGCTGATTTTCTGTAAAACATTCCCGTGGCCCATCAGGTTTTGGTGTAAAGAAAGTATCACCATGCTCCCCCAGTGAAGTTTCCAAAGGAAGCAAGTGAGTACCCCAAAGGCAGAGTCAATGAGCCAAAATCACAGACACAAAAGGAGACAGGAGACATGAGAGAAAGGGCAACTATGAGCAGAGAAGAGAAGAGGAGTGGTGGAACAAAGAAAACCACATCTAACGTGAATCAGGCAGAAGACTCCAAGGTCCGCAGGGAGTCTTAACATACTCACACATGGGTGATGGAATTATCAATAATATTCTATTCCTTCATCTTCACACTTTTTTATATTTCAAAAAGTGCTACACTGAATATGTGCTACTTTTATTTTTAAAAATAGTAAATGTTATTTTAAAAAGGAAAAGCAGGCAGGCTATTCAAAGTTTTTGCTACAAAAATTTTAGGATTTGTCTTCAAACCCATGATAGCAGTTGGCACCATTTGAGTTTATGGGGCAAATGCATTTGTAGCAAAATTGGTGGAGGTGGCTAGGTTGTCTGATGACTGCATAAGCAATAATAAATCCAAAGTATTTGCATCTAGGAGCAGCACCTCCTAACGAAGAAGCTACTGGAACTAAAATGTCTCAAACCTTAGAGAAATCCTGCAACATGGCACATCTTTTTAGCAGAGCTTTCACAATGTGATGCCTCCATGCACCCAAAGTGTAGACCCAGAAAAGGAAAATATAAAATGATTTTTTTTTTTTTGGTTACAATGCTTTTTTCCCCCACACGTGAATTCCAATGGGTGAAAGCTACTCTCTCTAGGGAGGAGGGGGGAAGAGGTAATCATGACAAATTATCCTTTTTGCAAGTTATCATCCTCTTGCTCTGTCTCTGTCAAATTGTTCCTCCAACACAGCAGCCTGCAAGCCCTGCTCAGCCTTCCCCTTCGAGTGCTATTTATACCTTTTGGATCAAACCAGCACTTTTGCATATCTCAGCCTTTTCAGGGGCTGTGATGGTGAACTGTACCATTTTCAGTCATTCTCATCAGAGTCACTCGTCATCATGTCCCTGAATATCTGTAAGGACAATGCATTCCACAATCACTTCAATCTAAATCTGTCGATAATTATGATAGAAGGGGGATAGTCTAAGTTTCACCTGTGAAGGAATGGGTCATTTTTCAAACCTACACGTTGCTTCCAATTATCTGTAAGCAGAAACACAACCTTGATCTGCAAAGAAGTGGTTGTGAGCCTCTTTTTTGGTAATCCTCCCAGGAAACAAATCACTATTTCTCCTAAACAAAGACTGTATTTTTCTCCTTAAGCAATTTTCTTTCCTTCATGCTGTTTGTTAGGTATTGGCTTATTTTATTGAAGAGAACACTCATCGAAAAGAAACTCAATATCCAAGGTGTTGGAGCAAAGAAAGGAGGTAAAAGAAGGGAAGGAAAGGAAAGAGTGCTACAAAGGAGGGAGAGAGGAGATGGGTGGAAAGTATGACATTAAAGAGATGATGATGCTTGTCCTGGAACAATCAGCTTAGCAGAACGTTGCAGCTGCTTCTTTCCAACTATTTTTCTGGATGGGAAGTAAGTTCGAATGGCTGCAGAATTTTTTTTTTTTTTTTTTTTTTTTTGAGACAGAGTCTCGCTCTGTCACCCAGGCTGGAGTGCAGTGACGGGATCTCGGCTCACTGCAAGCTCCGCCTCCCGGGTTCACGCCATTCTCCTGTCTCAGCCTCCCAAGTAGCTGGGACTACAGGCGCCCGCCACTACGCCCGGCTAATTTTTTGTATTTTTAGTAGAGACGGGGTTTCACTGTTTTAGCCGGGATGGTCTCGATCTCCTGACCTCGTGATCTGCCCGCCTCGGCCTCCCAAAGTGCTGGGATTACAGGCGTGAGCCACCGCGCCCGGCCTGGCTGCAGAATTTTTAAGCTTCCCCGTGTTGGTTTACAAACTTCCCTTACCACAGACTCATTTCTCCAACCACATTTCCCTCTTTCTTTAGTCAACATCCTAGAAGTTTATCTAAAGTACTCTAAATTACTAGATATAAATAGACTCAAAACAAATTATTAATGCTACAAAATCAGGAAGTTTAAAACTGAAAATGATACTTCTGTAAAACTCAAAGGGAGTAATAAGGGGTAGAAGGATAGGAGTTTTTTTTAACCCCAAGGCTACTTTTTCCAACCCATCAAGAGTCCACACATTTGGAAAATTCAAGAAAATGTATGGTATTTACTAGAAACTTGTGGGTTTCTAAACAATCAAGCAGGCTGTGTTTCACCCATCGTCCCCAGTGAAGGTTTGGGAAAATATATAGGAAGGAGCTTCACACTGGCCAGCATTTCTCTTAACCCTTGAACAAGGAAACCACTGAGTAGCCAGATTGTGTCTCCATGACCTCAAGGGAAAATTAGCTTTCCCATTTAATTTCTACCCAGTAAGTGAGAGTACAAAGAGTACAGGATGTGGAATCAGGGGACCTTGATCAAGTCTTGGCTATTTGTAGATATGGAATAAGTCTCAGTTTTCATACCCTTAAAATTAGAATAATAACTAAAAATCTGTGAGCATTTAATAACATATAGATTTTTTAAAATACTAGATAAATGATAGAGCTCTAAGTGTTTTTTTTTATCAGAACCAACTATCCTGGCTGAAAGGGAGGATCAGTCCCCACATCATCCTCATCATTTGGCTGTGGCATTTCCTTCCAAAAATTAGCCGAAGAGGTTTCTATTTACCCTCTGAGCATGCTCAAGCTCTGTAAAAGGGCAAAATGAAAGTTAAAGAGATGACCCTTGCCTCCCTGATTAAAATATGTCTCTAGACCAAAATGCTCCATCTAAAACTAAATTAGAGGTATTTTCTGCATGTTTCTTACAATGGGAACAAGGTGATTTTAAAATCCAGACAGGAAAGCAAGATGGAAACAAATTAGCTTGCTCTAATAATGATAATAATAGCAAACTTATATGGAACGTTTTCTATTTAACTCTCACTCTAGTCCTATGATATAGGTACTTTTAGTACCCTATTGTACAGATGAGGAAGCTGAGGTAGAAGGCATGGAAGCAACCTATGCCCAAGGTCTCATAGTGAGTAAATGGCAGTATGGCTGGATTCTGATTAACTTGAGCATGCAATCTAGAATCAAGGGTGATACAGGGCTGGCTGGCAATGCAGGGAACAGACACATCTTACTTGCTCTGTGACCTAGACTTTATCTCTCAGAACTTCATTTTTACATCCTTAAAATGAGATAATATTCTTCCCAACAAGTTTATATAAGGATTGAAGATAACATTTATAAATCATAGAACACATAATAGTTGTCTAAGAAATGTAACTAAAAATAATTTTGTTGCTGTTTCTGCTACTATATCTCTATCATGCTTGTTATAAAGACAAAAGTTCTTCGTGTGTGAATCTTGTTCTTTGACCATTGGAGTCACTGTGCTGTAGGTTGTTACCATTATCTGATTGAGACCTATAAAGAAGGCTGCTCATTCATGGCTAAGTATAGGGATATCCCCAAAGATGAAGCCACCTGTAGAAGAAAGTTGTTCCTCAGGAAAGAAATGAGAACTATGACGGTGGGTTCTAGGTAGGCAGGAGACAGAGTTTCACTTCTCTCTCTGGATCTAATGTTAAGAGGTAGAGATGTCTGCAGCTGCTCTCCTGAAAGGTGGATGATAAAAGGGTGTCCTGTCTGCAAAGGGAGAGAGAAAGAAAGGAAGGCAGAAACTCCTATGGGTACTTTAAGCTAGAAATGTGTAGCTTAAATGAAGATCTAAATTCACAAATCCTCTCTTTATTTTCCCCTTTCTGTCTCCATGCAACTGGTGTTGTACAATGCAGCTGGACAAGTGGATGAGTCTTTTACCTAGATACTTACCACAAATGTTAAAGGCAGAAAGTGTTCTTTCGTGCATCATGGTTGCAGCAGTAGTATGTGAGAAGCGCCAGGAGGAGGGTGAAGCTTGGAAAGAAAGGCTGGGATTTCTTAATTCATTTTTCTTTCCTTTTTAAGAAATTCTTCTTACAGTGCCAACTTGGAGGTTTCTGCATCTTATTTTTATTAGGAATGTGACTTTTCCATATAAGTGCTAATTAGATCCTAGAGCTTTCAGAGGGAATTTGAGATATTTCTTGCTGTTATCCTTGTCCTGGGCAACCCTGATTTGTAGAATCATAAAAGCATCTGGAGAGGAATCAAGAGATGAAGAATCAAAAGTGAGGGAGGTGATCATGGCAGATGGGAGGCAGGAATACATTGTGGCTCTGACTTAGATGAACAGAGTAGCATGTGGAGGCGCCTATCATGAATTTTTACTCCAGAATGACTGCAGGCATAAATCGGGAAACCTGAGAGGACCCACAGATTCCCTGAAGGAAGCGGATTGCTCCTGTAGGACCCAGGAGACAACCCAAATAGTGTGCTTGTATCCATGGCTGAGAGACTGACAGATGGTTCACAACACAGGACTCTGTACAGACAACCCCCAGTACCAAAAAGTGTTCTTTAGTGGACAGCATCATGGTGGTAGCAGTAGTACATGAGAAGCACCAAGTCTACCAGGCTCCGGGCTGGTACTGGGGGTTGTCTATACAGAGTGGCCAGATCCAGAAAAGAGGCAACAATCACTACAGCTCTGGCCACGCTGTGGAACAAAAGAATCTGACAAACAGCCTTCAGCCCTAGACCTTCCCTCTGATAGAGCCTACTCAAATGAGAAGGAACCAGAAACTAACTCTGGTAATATGAAAAAACAAGGTTTCTAATACCTCCAAAAAATCACACTAGTTCACCAGCAACGGACCCAAACCAAGAAGAAATCCCTGATTTACCTGAAATAGAATTCAGGAGGTTAGTTATTAAGCTAATCAGGGAGGCACCAGAGAAAGGTGAAGCCCAGTGTAAGAAAATCCAAAAAATGATACAAGAAGTGAAGGGAGAAATATTCAAGAAAATAGATAGCATAATTGAAAAACAATCAAAACTTCAGGAAACAATGGACACATTATAGAAATGCAAAATGAACTGGAAAGTCTCAGCAATATAGCTGAACAAGTAGAAGAAAGAAATTCAGAGCTCAAAGACAAGGTCTTCAAATTAACCTAATCCAACAAAGACAAAGAAAAAGAATAAGAAAATACGAACAAAGCCTCCAAGAGGTCTGGGATTATGTTAAATGACCAAACCTAAGAATAATTGGTGTTCCTGAGGAAGAGAAATATAAAAGCTTGGAAAACGTATTTGGGGGAACAATCGAGGAAAACTTCCCCAGCCTTGCTAGAGACCTAGACATCCAAATACAAGAAGCACAAAGAGCACCTGGGAAATTCATCAAAAAAAGATCATCGCCTAGCCACATTGTCATCAGGTTATCTAAAGTTAAGATGAAGGAAAGAATCTTAAGAGCTATGAGACAGAAGCACCAAGTAACCTATAAAGGAAAACTTATCAGATTAACGGCCGATTTCTCAGCAGAAACCCTACACGTTAGAGGGGATTGGCGCCCTATATTCAGCCTCCTCAAACAAAACAATTATCAGCCAAGAATTTTGTATCCAGTAAAACTAAGTTTCATATGTGAAGGAAAGATACAGTCTTTTTCAGACAAACAAATGCTAAGAGAATTTGCCACTACCAAGGCACCACTACAAGAACTGCTCAAAGGAGCTCTAAATCTTGAAACAAATCCTGGAGACACATCAAAACAGAACCTCTTTAAAACATAAATCTCACAGGACCTATAAAACAAACATACAATTTAAAAAACAAAAAACCAGGGTATACAGGCAACAAATGGTATGATGAATGGTACCTCACATCTCAATACTAACATTGAATGTAAATGGCCTAAATGCTCCACTTAAAAGATACAGAATTGCAGAATGGAAAAGAAGTCACCAACCAACTATCTGCTGCCTTCAAGAGACTCAGCTAACATATAATGACTTGCACAAACTTAAGGTAAAGGGGTGGAAAAAGATAGTTCATGCAAATGGACACCAAAAGCAAGCAGGAGTAGCTATTCTTAGATAAGATAAACTTTAAAGCAACAGCAGTTAAAAAAGACAAAGAGGGACATTATATAATGATAAAAGGCCTTGTCCAACAATAAACACATATGCACATATCACAATCCTAAACATATATGCACCTAACACTGGAGCTCCCAAATTTATAAAACAGTTACTAATAGACCTAACAAATGAGATAGACAGCAACACAATAACAGTAGGGGACTTCAGTACTCCACTGACAGCACTAGACAGGTCATCAAGACAGAAAGTCAACAAAGAAACAATAGATTTATACTATACCCTGGAACAAATGGACTTAACAGATATATACAGAACAGTCCATCCAACAACCACAGAATATACATTCTATTCAAAAGCACATGGAACTTTCTCCAAGATAGACCATATGATAGGCCACAAAACGAGCCTCAATAAATTTAAGAAAATTGAAATTATATCAAGCACTCTCTCAGACCACAGTGGAGTAAAACTGGAAATCAATTCCAAAAGGAACCTTCAAAAACCATGCAAATACATGGAAATTAAATATCCTGCTCCTGAATGAGCAGGGGGTCAAAATGAAATCAAGATGGAAATTAAAAAATTCTTCAAACTGAGCAACAATAGTGACGAAACCTATCAAAACCTCTGGGACACAGCAAAGGCAGTGCTAAGAAGAAAGTTCATAGCCCTAAATGCCTACATCAAAAAGTCTGAAAGAGCACAAACAGACACAGGTTACACCTTAAGGAACAAGAGAAACAAGAACGAACCAAACCCAAATCCATCAGAAGAAAGGAATAACCAAGATCAGAGCAGAGCTAAATAAAATCTAAACAAAAAAAATAAAAAAGACAAATGAAACAAAAATCTGGTTCTTTGACAAGATAAATAAAATTGATAGACCATTAGCAAGATTAACCAAGAAAAGAAGAGAGGAAATCCAAATAAGCTCAATAAGAAATGAAATAGGGTATATTATAACTGACACCACAGAAATATAAAGGATCATTTAAGGCTACTAAGAACACCTTTATGCACATAAACTAGAAAACCTAGAAGAGATGGATAAATTCCTGGAAAAAAACAACCCTCCTAGCTTAAATCAGTAAGAATTAGATACCCTGAACAGACAAATAACAATCAGTGAGATTGAAATGGTAATTTAATAATTACCAGCAAAAAAAGTTCAGGACCAGATGGGTTCACAACAGAATTCTACCAGACATTCAAAGAAGAATTGGTACCAGTCCTATTGACACTATTCCACAAGACAGAAGAAGAGGGTACCCTCCCTAAATCATTCCATGAAGCCAGTATTACACTAATACCAAAACCAGGAAAGGACATAATCAAAAAAGAAAACTACAGACCAATATCCCCGATGAACATAGATGCTAAAATTCTTTTTTTTTTTTTTTTTTTTTTTTTTTTTTTTTTTTTGAGACGGAGTCTCGCTCTGTTGCCCAGGCTGGAGTGCAGTGGCTCAATCTTGGCTCACTGCAAGCTCCGCCTCCCGAGTTCACGCCATTCTCCTGCCTCAGCCTCCCGAGTAGCTGGGACTACAGGCGCCCGCCACCATGCCCAGCTAATTTTTTGTATTTTTTAGTAGAGGCTGGGTTTCACTGTGTTAGCCAGGATGGTCTCGATCTCCTGACCTCATTATTCGCCCGCCTCTGCCTCCCAAAGTGCTGGGATTACAGGCGTGAGCCACCGCTCCCGGCCAGATGCTAAAATTCTTAACAAAATACTAGCTAAGCAAATCCAACAACATATCAGAAAGATAATCCACCATGATCAAGTAGGTTTCACACCAGGGATGCAGCAATGGTTTAACATATGCAAGTCAATAAATGTCATACATCACATAAACAGAATTAAAAACAAAAATCACATAATCATCTCAATAGATGCAGAAAAAGCATTCAACAAAATCCAGCATCGCTTTATGATTAAAACACTTAGCAAAATCAGCATACAAGTGACATACCTTAATATAAGAAAAGCCATCTATGACAAACCCATGGCCAACATAACACTGAATGGGGAAAAGTTGAAAGTGTTCCCTCTGAGAACTGGAACAAGACAAGGATGCTTACTCTCACCACTCCTCTTTAACATAGTACTGGAAGTCCTAACCAGAGCAATCAGACAAGAGAAAGAAATAAAGGCCATCCAAATCAGTAAAGAGGAAGTCAAACTGTCACTGTTTGCTGATGATATGATCATTTACCTAGAAAACCCTGAACAATCCTCCAGAAAGCTCCTAGAACTGATCAAAGAATTCAGCAAAGTTTCTAGATACAAGATTAATGTACACAAATTAGCAGCTTTTCTACACACCAACAGTGACCAAGCTGAGAATCAAATCAAGAACACAACTCCTTTTATGATGGCTGCAAAAAAAATAAAATACAATAGTTAGGAATATACCTAACCAAGGTCATGAAAGACCTCTACAAGGAAAACTATAAAACACTGCTCAAAGAAATTATAGACTACACAAACACATGGAAACACATCCCATGCTCATGGATGGGTAGAATCAATATTGTGAAAACGACCACACTGCCAAAAGCAATCTACAAATTCAAAACAATTCCCATCAAAATACCACCATCATTCTTCAAAGAATTAGAAAAAAAAATTCTAAAATTCATATGGAACCAAAAAAGAGCCTGCATAGCCAAAGCAAGACTAAGCAAAAAGAACAAATCTGGAGGCATAACATTACCTGATTTCAAACTATACTATTAGGCCATAGTTACCAAAACAGCACGGTACTGGTATAAAAATAGGCACATAGACCAATGGAACAGAATAGAGAACCCAGAAATAAACCAAAATACTTACAGCCGACTGATCTTCAACAAAGCAAATAAAAACATAAAGTGGGGAAAGGACACCTTTTCAACAAATGATGCTGGGATAATTGGCTAGTCACATGTAGGAGAATGAAACTGGATCCTCGTCTCTCACCTTACACAAAACTCAACTCAAGATGGATTAAGAACTTGAATCTAAGAACCGAAGCAATAAAAATTCTAGAAGATAACACTGGAAAAACCCTTCTAGACATTGGCTTAGGCAAGGATTTCATGACCAAGAACCAGAAAGCAAATGCAAGTTCAAAAAAAGATAAATTGCTGGGACTTAATTAAATGAAAGAGCTTTTACATGGCAAAAGCAACAGTCAGCAGAGTAAACAGACAACCCAAAGGGTGGGAAAAAAATCTTCACAATCTGTACATCTGACAAAGGACTAATATCCTGAATCTGCAATGAACTCGAACAAATCAACAAGAAAAAAAAAAAATCTCATCAAAAAGTAGGCTAAGGACATGAATAGACAACTCTTAAAAGAAGATATACAAATGGGCCAACAAACATATGAAAAAATGCTCAACATCACTAATGATCAGGGAAATGCAAATCAAAACCATAATGTGATACCACCTTACTCCTGCAAGAACGGCCATAATCAAAAAATCAAAAAATAGTAGATGTTGACGTGGATGCAGTGAAGAGGGAACACTTCTACATTGCTTGTGGGAATGCAAACTAGTACAACCACTATGGAAAACAGTGTGGAGATTCCTTAAAGACTTAAAAGTAGAACTACCATTTGATTCAGCAATCCCACTACTGGTATCTACCCAGAGAAAAGAAGTCATTATACAAAAAAGATACTAGTACACACACGTTTATAGCAGCACAATTCACAGTTGCAAAAATGTGGAACCAACCCAAATGCCCATCAATCAACGATTGATATATGATGAACTACTACTCAGCCATAAAAAGGAATGAATTAATGGCATTCACAGCAACCTGGATGAGATTGGAGACTAGTATTCTATGTAAAGTAACTCAGGAATGGAAAACCAAACCTTGTATGTTCTCACTGATATGTGGGAGCTAAGCTATGAGGACACAAAGGCATAAGAATGATACAAGAGACTCTGGGAACTTGGGGTAAGAGTGGCGGGGGGGTGAGGGATAAAATACTACAAACAGGGTGCAGTATATACTGTGTGGGTGATGGGTGCACCAAAATCTCACAAATCAGCACTAAAGAATTTACTCATGTAACCAAACACCACTTGCTCCCCAATAACCTATGGAAATTTTTAAAAAATTGAAAACAGAGATAAGAAATCAAGTGTTCAGAAAATAACACTGATAAAACCCTAAACCAAACATACAAATTTATAGAGACCCTAACAGAACAACAAAACCTTCACCCTAGACACCATCCACAGTGGCATCCAGGATGGTGCCACAGCTCTTTAGATTGTTGCCAGGAGAGGTCTGAGCTCTTTAACATCAGCTGAGCCCTTAGTGTGACTTAACAGGCATTGCTCTTAGTCATCTGTGGCCAGTTCCTTCTTTGCCCCTTCAATGGTGGCTCCAAACCTCTCCACTCACTTCAAGCCCCCTATGTCTTCCCTTCATCCCTCTCCTTCAGATGATCTCACAGACAATATTCAACAGATAAAACAAGTGAGCCAGCCTGAATTTCTTGATCCTCTTTCGTCTACACCAACAACCATCTGACTCACCCACTCCCTCTTGAACTTCTCCCTGCAGTGCCCAAGGAAGATATGTTCCTCCTGCTGCTCCAGGCACATTCCTCCTGATTGTTCTTCATCTTATTCCTTTCCACCAGTGGTCCTTCAGTCTGTGATGGTCCAGATCCTTCTTTCTCCTGGATCCTTCCTTTACTCCTGGGAAGCATGAGCAAGTGTCTCCTAACTTTAATGTCCCTCCCTTTCCCATATCCCTATCTAGTAGCTACCACCCTCTCCTTCCCTCTTTTTATAACCAAGTGTCTAGAAAGAGTTGTCCACTTTCACTGTGCTTAGATTCTATCATTCACTCTTCAACTCAACCCTAGACACTCTCACCAAGAACACCTGTGAACTCCATATTGCACAAGCCAACGGATACATCACAATCCTCACCTCCATGATCCCTCATCAGCACCACTACTAGCTCAATTATCTGGGAAACATTTATTTACCCTTAAAATTTGGTTTAAGAGAGTCACCTCTTCTGTGATTCATACCTGGCCTCTCTAGGCCAGGGTGACCCCTCCCTCTCGGCACCCATGCAGTACTGAACACTGTATGCATACCTCTGCTACCCCTCTTCTCACCTTGTATTGCATTTAACTCCTGACATCTGTCTCTCTGCTCCAGGTGTGTAAGTTTCTGGAAAACACAGGCACTGTACCTGTGTTTTCAGTACCTAACATGTAGGCCTCCAATAAATGTATCTCAAATTGAACTGAAATCATTCTAGTCTTAAGTTCCTAGAGAGTAAGTTCAAATAATGCTTATCTGGTTAAGAAAATCTTGTGGACTAACGTAAATTAGAATGAAGTCTCTGAATTGTTTTTCTATAAATATCAAACAGGAAGAAAGTAGAAGCATGAAAATATTCTCCACATTGAAGCTAAACCTCACATGTTTTGATTCAAGTTCACAGTAGCCCCCACCTTGGGTATGTCTTATGTACGTGGTTGCACGCTAATGCTGATAATAAGACAAGGAGTCTGTCTGGGAAGATGCAGTGGTGCAGCAAAAAGAATCCCCAAACAGAAAAAAGACACTTGGGATCTATTCTCTGCTCTGCTAATAACTCACTTGGTCAAGTCCCTTCTTCTGTCACCCTATCTGAAAAATGATAGGGTTGAATTAAATGATCGATAAGGGCACTTCCTGTTCTGAATGGCTAAAATTCGATTTTTTTTTCTAGCTTAAAAGATTTGATGTATGGAGTATAGCTGAAGGTCACAGATTTCAAGAGGCTGAGGAACTGTGAAACTAGCCTCTGGGAAGGGATGTCAGCAAGGATGTTGAAGTCAACAAGGTCAGCCAGGGCTGGAATTCAAGATCATTTCTTCATCTGTAAAATGGGAATAACGGTGGTCATCTAAATTCACCCTCGTGGTAATTGTGAAGATGAGTTTAGCTGATCATGTGAAAATGCAGTATCAGCAGTCAAGCAAGCACTTTAAAAAGTTTTTGTTTTTCATAATAAATTATTAATAACAGTAGCTAGCTATAGGCAGAAACTACAGTAGAAATTTCTCAAGAACTTAAACACATAAATCAACAAATACTCTGTCCTCAGTTGAGAGTAGTTCCTCTTATATTCACCTAAAAAAAATACCAGATTTGATATCTCTAAGAGCCGTCTAGATTCACTATAACCACAGTAAGAAAGATTTACAAAGGTTACCCTGACATTTGAAATATATTCAAACTGTGTTATTAATAATAATAACAAAAGCAATAGTTTTCAGGATGCACTTTAGAGTTTATAAGACACTTTCATTTTACGCATAATGATACTGAGTCTCAGAGAGGTTAAGTAACCTGCCCAATGCTTCACTCTCAATAAAGAAAGATGCTGGAGTTTACCTTACGTAAACCAGGATTCCGTTTCCCATGGAACTACTAAGAAAATTTCTAAAATACATATATAAAGACATAGACAAAGTGATACATGTGATAAATAAAACTGAAACTCCCCATGCTACAGAGCTCATAAAAATGATCAGTGTGTGTGTATAAAATTTTCATTGTTTTAGAATGAAAAACCTGACAAAAAGGCCAGAGAAATGTAGCCCCAATCACATAGCAGTATCTGAAAATTCACTGAGTCCAACTTTGCGATGGGAAGGTTTGCTCCTAAGCAGATGGCAAACAAGGTTTCATTTTCCAAGGTGATAGCAGGCAAGAGGACATGGGGAGAATAGGAAACACACACACACGGAGCAGAGATTTCCCAAAACCTCGGGCCCTCATTATATAAACACACAGACAAAGTAGTCACCAAAGGAAGTGGCACTTGCCCAGGGATACTTCCTGGTATATAAAGTCTGCCTTTTATTTCACCAGTGCACTACTTTGTAAAAGCATAGCATTCGTGAGATTCCTAACTCCATGCAAATCCAAACACTCATGAGAGGGTGGGAACTTCTTAATTGCTGCCTTTCACAGACTAGTGGGGTCTGGGGTTACTAGGTGGCAGATTGGAGGCTAAAGCTAAGAAGAAAGTTCAAAGGAAGCCTCTCCCTGACCTCCCCCTTGATCAGCAGGTGGATTTGAGGGGATTTGCACTAGGAATATCACAACTACTCTGTCACTTTAATCAAGAACCTTACTTTTTTAAATGTTCTAACCCATTGCAGTAACATTGTAACTGGAATCTGAATGCCTAATCTCAGTCCCCTCCAATTTATCTCTTCAGTGACAACTAGCGATCTTTGTAAAATGCCAATCTGACCATGTTACATCCCTTACTTAAAAAAAAAAAAATTTTAAACTTCCAATAAACTACATCCGCCTTCAGGATGAAAAATAAATCTCTACTGAATCTAAAGTTCCCTCATCCTCTGGCTCCCTTCTGCAACTCACTTTCAACCCTAAAATTCAGCCTCCCCAAGTTAATTTCAAGACACACTCCCACGGGTACCATATTCTGCCACGTACCCATGCCTTCATTCAAGCCAGGCTTTTTGCTGGAAATGCCCTTTCCCTTGTCCATTAGGCAGCTCCTATAATGCTTCAGAGCTTCCGGTCACACACTACCTGGTCTAGACATCAGCACCCACCCCTAAAGCCCCCCAAATTAGTTGCTGTCTCTGTGATATGCTCCTTCAGCCCTCTGCTGACCTGTTTCCTAGCATTGTTCTCAATATGTTACAATTGCCTCTTGTCTTTCCCCCTAAGTAGACTGTGATGGCAGGAGGGATTATGTCTTATATATCAGTATATTCCCAGCTTTGGCGAGGACACAGAATAGATGTTCAATGCAGCTTTGTTGAAAAAAAGCCCATGGAGCATTTATGGAACTCCGTAAGTGCACTGTAAGTATTGGGCACTGCATGTATAATGTATTAGGATCTCTAACTTCGTTAAATATCAGGGGAACAAATTGCTGGAGTGATCAAGTGAGCACACCCATTTACTTCCAAACATTGGCTCATTGACCACATCCAATTTCTAATAAAGGTTTTACTTTTTATGTAGGTCATAATAAAATAAGAATAAAGTAATATAGTTAGATTTTCTACAATTATTCCCTTCTTCCTTTCTTCGGTGCTAAAATATCTTCATTTAGTAAGATAAATAGAGTGGTAGTAGACAGCAGTTTTGTTTGGGTCTTGCTTATTTGTTTATGCCCTTACTTGGCATCTAAAAATAAGCAAGTCAATATTGGTCTTTGTAACAGTCAGGGTCTCAGCAGGAAACAGAATTCACCCCAGATGGTTCAAATAGAGAGACTTTAATGAAAGAACCACTCACAAAGCTGGGAGGGGTGGGAGAATAAACAAGGGCAATGAGATGCCCAGAAGGGTCAAGGGGAGAAAATTGTGTCACTGAAGGCTGGTGAGTGCTGGAGCCATGGAGAAGGGGCCACCAGCAGAAGCCATAACTTTGAAGGAGTATCACTACCCCTGACATGCCACACTGCAGCAGAGTTTCTCTCCTGTCACTACTCAGTCTCCTGCCAGGGACCCCCACTGGTCAACTGGAAGCCAGCCTGCAAGGAGCTGGTACAGCCCACAGGTCAGCCTCTTGGACACAGAGCAGGCCAGGGATGGGTCCAGAATGAAATGAGGGAAGACGAGAAATGAGGAATAAGCTGCATAATTTTCCCCAATTGTTAAACTGGTCCATGAAAACCAAATCTTGGCTACTGCTGATCAAGTGGCCTGAGCACCAAAAAGGGAAATAGAATCCTGAATTATAAATTAATCCCTTTTAGTTACTAGCTGGGTGACCTTAAGCAAGTCCTTTAACTTCTCTGTATGACATTTTCTTCATCTGTAAAGTGGGAATAATCATCACTGTTATACCAACTCCCACGGTTGTTGCAAGAATTAAAAAGTGTATCATATATGCAAGGGCTCATAAACTTCCAAGCACTATAGTTTAATTTAACCAACATTTATAGTTCTCACTGTGTGCCAGGCTCTGTTCTAATCCCTTAGCAAATACTAACCCAGGCAATCCTTCACGCAGGTTTCCCCCACATACAATATCTTTTCCTCACAGGGGCAGAAAAATATTCAACGGATGAATGATACACTCATCATTACTTTCAATGTTATAAGAGGAATCAACTTCACTCATTCTGAAACTAAAACACTAAGTTAATCTTTACATATTACACTAAGAGGTTGTAGGATATCTTGATTCTTTTATTCAAAATAACATTAAAATTTACCTTATTTTCATGCATTTCACTACTGGAGGAAAATAAGAACCAGTGGCAGACTATGGACATTACTATTGCCATTATTCTTCTTACTATTTTATTGTCAACTAAAATTGAGACTCTGTTGTGGCCTAGAGATAAACACAGAACATTCTCCTGGGAACATAACAGATTTTTATGGCATTTCTTCAGCTTGTTTTTTCAAACACTCTAAAAAAATAATAATCATGGACACCATAATTGGTTCCATCAAAATGAATAATCAGTGTGGTTCATCGCCCACTCATTTTGCCAGTTAGCCAACTATGACCACCTTCAGATTTAGACTGGTAAACGGGCTTAAAGAGTTGTTTGTTCCAAACCTGTTCCAAACGATGTTCCTTATGCCTGGAGCTTTCATAAAACATGTTCACAAATCATCACAGACAGAGAATTTCCAGTGGAGATTTTAGAGGGCGTGGTTGGAGGGCAAAAGTCTTTGAGTTCAATTACATATTGTTATTAGGAGTATTTCTCATCCTAGAGCTGCCCAAATCCTAAGCAGTAATAAGGTAGCAGAAAGAAGACAGGCTCTGAAGTCAGACTAGGACTTAAATTGCAGATTCTCCACTTACTAGGTATGTGACCTTGGGTAAATTATTTAATGTGGCCGAACCTTGACAAAGTAGGAAAAGAATTTCTGCCTCATAGGATTATTGTAGAAATACATGAGATAATATACGATTACCTGGTCTGGTGCCTAGCATATAGCTGGTGCTCACTAAATAAATATGATGCTGATGATGAGGAAAACCTATGATGTCCTGACCTAGAAGGGGTGGCTGTGGACGAAGACATCAAAAGTGGATGAATGCAAGACTTGGCTTTCTCTTCAGACAGGAATCTGTGCTAATCAATGCTCTTTGGCTGTAATGAGCAGTTACCTTTTGTCTGCCTAGCACTCCTCCCTCTTTCTGGGAACAGCACTCCCCATTGGAATGAGGATGGAGTCTCCCCTTCTCCACCTATTCCGCTCTAGTGCGGTTGGACAACTGTAACTCCCCACACCACCTCAGGCCACAGAAAGGACCATGAAATCAGCAAAAACTGATCAGAGTCCTTCCCCAGAACTTTCCAAATTGGAACTAAGAGAAGAAAGTTTTTTCCACCCTGGAGTCAAAGCTAAGAGGATGTGACCTAGCACCTGTCTGTGCCCAAAACTTGGTGAAAAGAAACTAGCATGCAGGGTAAGGTAGAAGCAAAGGCAGCACATGAGAGACAGGCCTGGTGGAAATTGAGCCCCTGGTTCCTGACATCCCTAAGGCCAGCTGTACCCCTGCCCATCCATCCAACAGTTTGATATCAGAGCCAATAAATCTCCTTTCTGTCTAAGCCAGTTAACTTACTTGCTGTCATGCTCAATCATGCTGAGTAATACAGGGGCCATTCATCTAAATACAGGACAAAATCTAAGACAACACCTCTCCACCTCTTCAGAATTCAGAGTGCCAAAGAAATATCCATGAGAAGAAACCTTGGTGGTAGGGGCAGAGGAAACTACATTTCTTCCTCTATTTAGTCAGTCATTCAACAACGATTACAAAATTTTATTATGCCCCATATGCAAATCCAAGCTAATTCAGCACTGTCTACATCTTCATAGTCTAGAGATCAATGCAAATTAGTAATTATTATATAAGAAAATAATTTTATTAATGAAGGTATGTACAAAGGGCAGGCAGCATAAGGAATATTTTTCAGGCCTTCACAGAAGAAAAAAGCTAAGCTAAGACTTGAAAGTTAAGATGAGTTTGCTTTTTCAAACTCTCTCTAGTGAAAGCCTAGTTTAGTTTGAGTGAGAGTGTGTGTGTGTGTGTGTGTGTGTGCGCGTGTGTGTTTTATTGCCAATCCTTTGCAGGCTGGTTTATGGTCCTACTACATCTGAACTTCACTAGTATGCAGTTTGTACCACCTGTGACTCACTGTACAAGTTCAATAACTCCTAAACTGTCAATAACCTCTTCAATGACACGTTTACTAATCAAAGTCTTGTATGTTACAGCAATACTAAGTTGTTATAAAATTTTTTTAATGCTCACTTTCCATTTCTGTATTTATTTTGTCCCAGAGTAGTAACTAACAGTTCATGGCCCAGTAGTGTGCTAGAGGAGCAGTAGAATTCTAGAAGGCAGGCTGGGCCAGAGCATCTCAGGCAGCATGGTGAGGGCTTCAGAGAGTTCAGTGATAAGGAAAATGAAGCTCCCTCTTGGAGTTATACCATAAAATAAACACATAGTTACAGGCACCTTAACCATGCTGACTGGCTTCTAGACGAGAGTAAGACTTCACTATATTGGTGATATTACAGTCTTGAGGCAAGAAGCAGAAATCAGAATATTATAAGGTCATCATAGAAAATAAACAAAAATGAGGAGGAGCATCTCCAGTATCTGCCTAGCCCTGGCCCAGCGTCCCCATCCTGGCCCTGGATCCAGCACATGTTAGATGGCTGCCTTTATAGACCTTTCTTTTTCTGAGATTCCAGGTGATACAGAGTATCTGACTTTGAATCCCGCAGATACGTACAGCTGAGCTTTCAGCATTCCTGTTGTAGAAATGGGTGCATCAGAGCTAAAGGCCACTGAACACAGGGATCTTCCAACCAGGTACTTCCCTTTGTTCTAAGCCCTGACTCTCCAAACTCTCCTTGTCCTGTGGTGCCCCATGAGCCAGTGCTGGGAGACAGACCTCTGGTTAAGTCAGTGAACATGGGTCAGTTGGTATGAGAGACTTGAGTTTTCTCTCACACGTAATTGAAGAACTGGGAATCCTGGTATACAAGTTGGTTATAGTTACATAATAAACTATCTCAAAGCTTGGTGGCCTAAAACAAGATGCACATATTACTGCACACAAGTCTGTAGGTCAGCTGGGTGTGCTACTGATCTGGGCCAACCTTGGCAGATATTGGCTGGGATCACTCAGGTGGTCTGCAGTCTCCCGGTAGATCAGCTGAGGGCTAGCTGCCTAGAGATTGGCTGGCTTCTGGCAGCTGGCTGGCTGGTGACTGTGGGAGCAGGGGTGACTCATCCTCTAGAAAGCTGGTTTGGTCTTGTTCACATGACAGTGGCAAGAATCTGAGAGTGGAGGCGTGAGCAGTCTCTTGAGGCCTAGGTTTGAACTGGAACACCATCAGTTCCACTTCATTCAATTTGCCAAAGCAAACCACAGGATAACCCAAATTCAAGGAGTGGGGAAATAGGCTCCATCCCTTGATAGGAGCAGGTACAGAGTCACATTGCTAAGGGTGGGAAATTGGGGAGCCAAGAATTGGGGCCATTTTTGCAATCCATTTGCCCCATCTGGCTTCCACTTTGGGTGTTTCCTCTGGATGAGTTATTGGCTAAGTATTAAGTTTCTGAATCCTCCAAATCCAGCCCCTAAACCATAGAAAATTCCCCAAGGTAAATGCTACTCTCCCCAGCTTTGGTAAGCAAGATCCACATCTGACTAGATGCTTTTTGTTTGTTTGTTTGGAGACAGGGTCTCACTCTGTTACCCAGGCTGGAGTGCAGTGGTACGATCTCAGCTCACTGCAACCTCTGCCTCCCAGGTTCAAGTGATTCTCATGCCTCAGCCTGCAGAGTAGCTGGAATTACAGGCATGTGCCATCAGGGTTTCACCATGTTAGCCAGACTGGTCTCAAACGCCTGACCTCAAGTGATCCTCCCACCTCAGCCTCCCGAAGTGCTGGGATTACATGCATGAGCCTGACTACATGCTTTCTTTAAAACTCCAACCAGTATCAAGTTGAACATCCTTTTTTTCGGAGGGGTGGCGGGGAGGAGCATTTAAGTTAGCCAAGGAGCTCACAAGAAAATGTAATCCTTATGTTAGACAAAAAGCGTGCAAGAATATGGGAATTATAGAATTCAAAATTCAATTCATTCATTTAGTTATCCATTCAATAAATGTTGGTTTAATACCTTCTAAATGCATGATGCACCTAAGATGTTTTGGGGCATATAAAGGCAATTTAGACCTGCATAGTGCCCTTACGGGAATATGACCTCATATATAGTCAGTATCAGAGGATTTGCTGCTCCAGTTCCCCTAGAAACTACTGTTGTTTGTTCACCTGTTTCCCCTCCAGCTGCCTACAAGATCCTCAAAATTGTGGATCTCATTTTATCTACATTTAACGCATATTAAGCACTCAATGAATGTTTGCTGAAATGCAAATAAATAAATATCTGAAGAAAAGAAAACTATAAGCATTGACAACATAATTTACTCTTCACAGACAAAATGGTTTGATTTACTCCCTCCCCATTTAACAGAATTAAAACGTATGGAAATCATACAACTTACCCACAAAATAGTGATACTATGGCCCCTTTACAAAAAGCTTAGTGAAGTTATAAGTAAATAAAAAGGGCATTTTTGTTTTTCCCCACTCCTCTGTAGGAGCATATCCTCCGTTGGAAGGAAGAAAGAAGACAAACAGCAGCCTGCATGCTTTTGAAGCTGGACTATCAACAAAGGATCTTCTCAATCAATTCACCACTAGCAACAGAATGCAGGCGGTTCTCAGAAATGGCTCACAAAGAAGCACAGAGAAAGGCTGTCTGAAGGCAGAAGCAGGAGATGTTTCCCTCCTGAAGATGGAAATTGGACCTTCAAGCTTTTCTGTGGAGTCAGAAGTGCCACGGCCATCTCAGTGCGGGTAATTCAGAGAGGGTCAGAACACTTCCTCCAGGCCACCCAGGGGAGTTTTCATTTCAGCCATAAAAGTCAGATTCCCCAGCTGCCCTCCTCCTGGGCTCTCCAGCCTCTGCCAGCACGAGGCCCAACCGGCAGTGTCCACCAGCAGAGGAACAAGAAGCATTGAGGAGGAGTACCAGCTTGAGCAGCTGCCAGTGCCATCTGCACATTCCACCGGCAGAGGAGACAGAAGCAGCCTCAAATCCCATTGAATTTAAAGAACGGGGATGTTGAAGAGTGAGACTGATGACATCAGCTGGACTTCACGGGGGCCAGGGCCTAAGGGGATTCAGTGGGTCCACTCAGCTTTCCAGGCTCCAAAATATGATTTTGCCCATGCACTCTGAGCTTGTAAGAGCTGATATTCGAACTAATCTCATTTTTTAAATGATCTTTTTGAAAAATAGACTATTTTTTAAAGTAGTTTTAGGTTCACAGCAAAATTGGGCAGAACAAAATAACTATATTTTTAAATTTATAATGGGGTCAATAAACATGCCTTGAGCTGGATGGAAGTACAGCAAATAAGACTGCATTGTCCCAAAACCGAATTGCTCAAAGTGAATGAGAGAGAACAATATGCGTAAGAGTTTTCCAAGTGAGTGAAGGCTTTAGGGAACATTTCATTCTAGGAAAAATTGATGTCCTATGATCTCTCCTTGTCCAAACCCAAGGCCAAATGAGCCTTAGAAAATCCCTGCAGCCGCCTTCTCTGAATCCAGGAAGTCCTCCATGTCCATCTCTAATATCCTGCTCTAATGCTTCACTTTCTTCCCATTGCTCCTGTTTTCACTGGGAATTCAACTTCTCTTGGCAGCCCCTTCAGGTGAGTGACCCATTGGATGGTTTCCAAACCTGGATTTCAGTTTCTGCGCCAGATGCTGCCTCTCTTATCACATCCACATGTGGGTGGGCTATTTCCCAGGGTACTATATCTGAGCCCAGAGCTCCATGACCCCTCTGGCTTGGTAGGGAATGGGGAGATTTGACCACTGCAGGCAGTGGAAACAGATGTACAATGGTAAAAATCCCCTCTCTGAAGAGTGCTCTGCCTCATTCGGATCCCAGTGTCTTCAAATAAGGCAGAAATAGGTGTCTGGATGACATTAACTCCACACCCAGAGAATCCTAGAAGTGAGTTCTTCAGGTTGTAGCCAAAGCCCCATGAACGATTTATTCCAACTAGACAGGTGAGTGAAGAGTGAATTCTCAACACACCTGAGAACACACACTGCTCTTCTTAATTCAATGTGAACATATTTAATGTTCATTAAGTGATATATCTAAGGACCATCCCTCCAGCTCTTTTCTTAAGAAGATAGCCAATTTCAGCCATTCTAGACTGATGTATACAACTGCCCCCCTCAGAAGGGAAATGTCTTACAAATGTTGACGACCTCCAACTGTGAGGCCCTATGTCTTGCTGCAACCCCTCCAACATAATTGAAATGAGGTATTTCACTAACAATCTCCATAGGTTCCTCCCCGTTCCTTCTCCTAGAGAGAAATATTTCCTTGAAACCACCCTGGGCCTCAGCTCACTCTTACACCCATCTGTAAACACAGCCTGAATTATTCCATATAAAAGAGTTTCCTCTCCCCATCTGAATTGTGAGCTCCAAGAGGGCAGGTGCCACATCTTAAGTCATTTTTTGTGTGTGAAATGAACACACATTCAGTGTGCACACTAAACAACGTGGAGCAAGTTAGCCTCCCTGTAAAATTGGGAGAAATAATCAAATGGATGTCAGAGGGCCACTAGGAGCATTACATGAAAGGATGTATGAAAAATCCCCAGCATGGAACATAATAAGTGCTCAAAACTTATTTGCTGCTGTTATGTGTTATTAATATCTTAATTAACTAACTCTGGGTCTTAGCTTCCTCATTAATTAAATAGTAATAAAGTGGGTACTTTATTGGGTTACAGTAAGTAAATGAGACCATGCTCATAGCAACCTAGCATGCTGCCGGGCACATACTAGTCTCTTTGTAAATGGAAACAATTAATACTAATGCACTGAGAACTTGCCTCCCCTTCTTCCCTATTTCCACCCATGGAGAGGGGTACTTGACCTGGTACCTCTGAATTAAGCACCACTAGGAGACCTAAGGTACATGAGGTTGAAGATGCTCCTCTCCCCTGGGGTTCCTGGGAACTCTCAGAGATACCCTGCCCAGTGCTACCATAAAGCGCTGTTATGGGGCTCACCAGAGGCATCAGCAACCTGCCCCAGGAAAGCTGAGCATCTGAGCAAGGGACACACACCCCAAATAGGAAGCAAATGCCTACCACTGGTGAGGACTGCAGAGGGATGCCACAGCCCACTCCCCTGGGTTTTATGAATTTGTAAGCCAGGGCAAAGAGAACACTGCTTGAGAGCCTACCGAAAATCATCCATTCATTTGCTTATCTAACCATCCATTCAGCCACCCATCTGTTCATTTACAGCATAGAGGCTCTGGAGGCAGCCTTCCTGAATTGAACCCTGACTCAATCACTTACTAGATGTGTGACTTGAACAAAGCACTTAATACCATAAGCCTCAGATTCCCCCTTTTATAAAATGGGAAATAACAACAATAAATGCCCCATAGGTTTACTTCATGGAGAAAAACAATCCCTGAGTATAGCACCTGGCACAGCATAAACATCATTACATGTTACTTGCTATTATGACAAAGATGATGATGATGATGTTGATGATGATGATGATGTTGATGATGATGGTGATGATGTAGGAAGCCTGCACAAAGGTAGAGGATGGAGCTGCATAAACCAAACTGCAGATGGAGTGCACACAGGAAATACCATCAAAGCCAGTCCTAAATAATTGGGGCTGGGGCTGCTGCTTCTATCATTAGGCTGTTTTAAGATCTGTTGTGTTTTCAAAGGGAAGAAGATATGCTGCCACTTCCCTTGAAGTTTCCAGTGTACACGGGTCAGCTGCACACCTGCAATTAAACATTGAAGGGATTTTGGGAGGCCCTCTTTTTCAGCAGCTCCTTTTTTTTAACCATCATTTTCCAGGTTTGTTCCCACAGTCACCTGTCAATGTGTCACTTCCCTTCAACCTGCCCTCAAATGCACTTGCTAAAAAACAATTTCCAAACTCTCCTTGTTACCAACAGAGATGCTGAGAAAGAGAGAGGAGAGCTGGAAAAGCTACCGATTCTCTTTGATGAGTCAAAGATTCTAGCATTTTCCTTTCTTGATGCTCTGCCTGCCTTTGACTGACATTGGGGCCTGTTTATAAATCTCTAACCTGAGCCAGTGATCATTTCCCAAAATCTAAAACTGCAGACCAGAATCAACCTGAGAATTGATTGCAGTGGATTTGTTTTGGTTGCTTATTTCTCCAGAGCCTTAACAAACAATCTTTCAAGGCTTGCTGGTGGGAGGGATGGATGGCCTGAAAGGAAGGAGGTGAGGGGATGGGAGCTCCCCAGGCTCCTGCACCACCCCTGCTTTCTCTCTACTACTGGGTGATTTCTTCTCTCTACTACTTTTTGAAGCTACCAATTAATTCTCTCCACCACCCTTTGCCTAAGTCAAGCACTGCTTCTGCTTATGCCAAGTCACATTCAAATTGAAAAAATTAAGGAAGTGTAGTAGCAAGAAAGATACCCCTAAAATCCTGTTCAGTGAGTTTCAATAATTCTATTTTTTAAAATTACCAGAACATCAAGACATGGTGCACATAGGAAAAATACAGAAAAGCACATTGTCTATATTGATGATCTACACGTTGGTGTGTACATGCAAACAGGGGATGACCCCCTTGTGTCACACTGGAAGCCTCTGACAACATCAGATTCTAAATTATTAAAGTAACGAAAATTTAAGATGGCCACAGCCCCTCACGATGCCCAGTAACAAGTAGCTGTATCTCTAATAAGATGCATTCTCAGGCCACAAGCCCGGAGCCTGCTGAGCCACTCTACAGCTCATCTTGTTCACCAAGGCCTTTGCAGCTTGAAGGTGACAGAGTCCACACCTGCAAGGGCAGGGTCATCCCAGCAGCCACCAGGGCCCCTTCAATCAGCTAATCCCAGATATGACCTCTTTTCACAGAGACGAGAAACTACATGGATCTTTCCACTTGGTCATACCCTGGGGATGGAGCCTGGTACACGAACGTGCTCAGAGACATACCAGCCAGAGAAATTAACTAACAGGCCTGGGGCACAGAGGCCAGGGCCACCTGTGCAGGCAACCTGTGATTAGGCAGGCTTCTGGCATATCAGCAGAGGGACTATGGCCCAAGGGACAGAACCACATACCCTGTTAGGCCCAAATATGCCCTGTCAGCCTGCAGCCTGGACAACCTCTGTTCCCACCAGCTTAAACAGAGCTGAAAGAATTGTAGGCACCTTCGCCACTGCTGAGAGTAATTGAGCAATAGCCTCCCAGCAGGCTGAATCGCGATGTGTTCCTTGGGAAATTATATACTTTTAACCTCTAAAACAATATAATTTAAAGGTGAATGTATTTTTCCTCAATAGTTACAGAGCCTCTTATTTCCTCTAAAGAGCTGAGGTGGGAGGTTATTTTGCTGCTCCTACATATATATTTAAAGAGATACTTACAATGCATTCACCTCCAAATGTAAGTTTTGGTAGAGGGGTATTTAGAAGGCCTCTGAAAGTAACATTTCTGTATAGGATTTTATTTCCAATTAACCCAGTTTTGCAACCAAAGTATATGTGCCCACTCCAACCCCTTACAGAGTTTCTATTTATGACAACAGAATCTTCCCAAACACCAAGACAAGAAGAGTTATATTCATGGTGAAGAATGAAGGTGATCTCATCACTACCCTTCATTCCTCATATTCCCTCATTCAATAATTCCATCACCAAGAGTTAGTCAACCATCCAGTCTGGCCTCTTTTTCATTGAAGTGGCTCTTGTATTCATTCCTATTCAGTTCCAATATCCCTACACAAGGCAAGACTCTTCCACCCTCATGCTGGGATCACTGTGTCCATTCCAATTAAACCCCCTGGGTTCCAGCAGCTTCTCCACACGGTGCAATCCTGCACACAGCTGCTAGCAGCATCCACTGTCATGCTACTCTTTGCCAGGTCACTCCTCTGCTCAAAAACCTTCAGTGCTTTTTATCCTACCATGGTATTCAAAGCCAGCATTCTCTGGCCATCCCACAAGCAAGATCCACCCTGCCTATCCTGCTGTATTCACAATATTTTTCAGCAAGTACTCACTATTCCAGCCACACCAACAATGTCTGGACCCACAAACACATCAAACTCATTCATATCTGAAACTTCTATATCTTTGCTCATCCTGTTTCCATCATTTGGAATTCTCTGTAATCTTCTCACTTCCTAACTCAATTCTAGGCATCCTCCAAAGTTTACCTCTTCCAAGAAGACTTTCTTGATTGCCCTGTGCCCTGCTATTCTCCCACAAGTGCTGTGTCAATCAACATTGTGCTTTATTATGGACTATTTGTGACCAAGTCACTGTTTCTTGTTTTTTCAATGTCCTATTTTTTCAAAATTGCAAGAATTTGAATGTCATAAGTCATCTGTATCATTTTTTACACAAAGTCTAGAACCGATTAGCAAATAGGCAGCTTATGCAGAATTGGAAAGAAATGAAAAGATGCTATGATGCCAACCTGAGCTCATCAAGGACAAGTCACACAAGACTAGCTTAATTCCTTCCTGTGCAGGGGTTTTAGAAAGGTATAATAGGAAAATAGAATACATGCAATGCTCTGCATTTCACCAAAGTATGTAACAAAGTCTCTCCTTCCCAAAAATCTAAGAGCAAAAGTACCTTTGCTGATCTAGATAATCAAATGATTATCTAGAAAGGATGCCCAAAGGATGCCAATCATTGCACTGTTGTCAACCAGCTAGGAGAGCTCTAGTGGTATGCTCATGAGTCTATTTCAAGAATATTTTTGTCAATGGCAGAATGGTAATATTTATGGCACTCTGGGAAAAATATACAACCTGGAGGGAAAATGATAATATTGAATGACCAAATAAAGTTACAAAATTTTCTGAATTGGCTGGTGAAAGAGACAAAGCTGTCAATATGGCATTCAACAGAGACAAATTTAAAGTTTCACCCACGTCCATTCATCCAACATGACAAGTATGGAATTCCTGTTGCTGAAGCTTTTCTGATATAAATTATTTTTTCATTTTTATGATATACAAAATATTCAGTATCCAAAAGAGGGCTGAACTATATGATGTCAAAAAATCTTCCCAACTTTGAGATTATAGTGGTGTATGATTCTATATATCTCTGTCTCTATCTCACACCAAAACTAGATTGTGAATCTATTGGCATGAACATCATGGTATGGGGAAAAGTACATGGAATTTGAAGTCAGATAGACATGAGTTCAAATAATACTTTTTCCAGTTACTAGGTGGATAACTTCTGTTTCTTTTTCTACAAATTAGAAATTGTGCAAGGTATGATAGTTGACTTGAATAATGTTCCAAACATATGACCTAGTCTAATGTCTGGCATATAGTGGGCATTGAATAAATGTTAATTATAAATATTTCTCTATATCCTATCCAGCTGATAGACTATTAGGAATAAATTGGAATTTTAGTAAGAAATCATTTAGTTCTTTGATTTTGAGGAATGTCTTAGAGAGATTACTTGCTCATTAGAAAAGGTTTGAAGATGAAGGAAGAATAAATACAGGTATTCCAGACAGAGAAATGGCAGGAGGAAAGGCATGGAAATGTGAATATGTAGAACATGGCATATGCAGGGAATGGGAATAACTCCAACCCACTAGGACTAGAGGTTGGAGAGAAGGTTAAGTTGGTAGAATGGCTCAGATGACGCAGAACTTGAAGTGCCACTGAGCCAAACTGTAAGCCATGGGTACCTTCTGATACTCACATGGTAACTCACCTCTATACCTCTTTTTGGCATATTTTAAGAATATTAAATGATTATTATAATCAAGACATTTTCTCTTTGGGAGCAATGGCTTGACAAAAACAATTCACAAGAGATGTCTCTTCTAGCAGCAACCAAGTTACTTCATCCTCATTTTTCTAGCTTGCTTTCAAAAGCCAAGGTTTACTGATTTGAACCAGGTGCCCTATTCTACCCATGCAGTCTCTCTAGCCAGCAGAGTTTGAAGGCCTATTTCACCAGTTCTATTCTTTTTCTGACACTAACATATTTGACAGGAATATGAGTAGGTGGAAAACACAATGTTTTCAATTGAAGTTCACTAGCAAGTCTCCAGTAGAGTTATTTTAGAGATTAAAGAAAGGATCATTTGGACACATGAATTTGAATATGATTTATAGATTACTTCCACAGACATAGAGTTGCTTATCTCTCAGACAGCTGTGAGAATAGACAGAAGTCACATAGGAGGTACATAGTCTCCAGAATGGGGAAAAAATATATATATTAAATCTTAAAGTGGCTGATGCAGCAATTAATATTTCAACCTTCCTTGTGCAAAGAAGAAAAGAGTAAGATTACAGGGATGTCGGATTCCCAAGAATATGTGATTTCAGACTTGCGGGGGAAAATGCCTAATTATGTATTACAAACCTAAACCCCTCAGGCACTAATGGGCTATTTTAAAATGTTTTTTTAAAAATTGTGGAGACTAAAAAATTTTGTTTCTATCAAGGTTTCAGCAGCACATTTCTAGCACATTCCTAAATAAGGTTATGGAAAAGAAACAGTATATAGTCAAGCTCCTTTGAGAATGAATTTTCATTGTTTTTTAATTTATCGACAAGTATTTAGTAACCATGCTCTGTGGGGCTAGCGGACCACATCCTTTTACCCTCTAAACCCCACTCTATTTCCAAAACACACACTTTCTTACACAAATACACAAGAAAAAAGATATATGGGTCAGTCCTGAAGCATTTTATCACCAGTTTAGGGGTAGAAAACAAACAGGAAAAACCTATGAAAATGTCTTGTGCATTCACCTCTCTGACCCTGACTTGAAGTGCTTCTGGAGTTCCAGAAAGACTCTAGCTGAGCTAAAGAAGTCAAAAGAAATTTCAGAGAGAAAGTGTAAAGGCATCTGGGCCTTTGAGGTAGAAGGCAAAGGAGGCCAGGTCTACAATGAAATGAAGAATTTGTATGTTTGGTCAAAGGGAAGACGTCATTTAAATGAAACAGGAACATTTTTAAGTTCATCAAGCGTTCCACCAACTCTATACACATTTTCTCAAAAATTGTATTCTGTCTTGCATTTCCAACTGAAAGACCCAGCACATGCATCACCTCCCCATTTACTGAGGTCATGTTGATATATTGATATGATAGAAAAAAAACTTTTTATGAAACCAAATATAAAGGAAGCCAGCTGTCACAAGAAATATTGAAGAAATCCTGTAAAATATAAAGCAGCTAGGACAAGTTCAATGAAGAATAAGAGTTGGGAAAACCATAGCTTAAAAATAAACAAAGCAGTCCTTCCCAAGCATATGACAGAGCCCGAATGGGTAGAGGACTCATTATCAGGATAATAAACTACACAATTACAATAGGAGTGTGAGTCTTAATCAGACCTTTGCTGTTTCCTCAGGCGTACAGAGCCTATGAGAATGGCAGCAGCATTTTATGCCCTCAGGATAAAGCATGACAACTTCTCTCTAGGAATATTAGAACTGTAACTGGAAAGGGAGTTAGTACAGGAGATAGGGCCTGAAAGAGTTTGAATAGATGACTATACACTTCCACATTAGACCAGATGGATGGGAGACAGGAGAAGTCAGCTCCATTTAGGAGTAAAATAAACTAAAGTTTTCTAACTCCAGAGTAAATTTCTATTACTTTGGAGATTGTGATAAGTTTGCCAATCTACATGCTTCTTCTTTGTTTATGAACCCTACCTGAGAATCTCCCCATCTGTTCACCTTTTTGGAGCCCTAAGTAAGACCTCCCAATTGAAAGAGAAGCCTATTGAGAAAACAGACTTCTAAAAACTGCAGAGAAAATCCCATGGAAGTTACTTATATGAATCAAACCACTCCTTCATCTATAATCAGGATCACAAGACATTTGAGGAAATCAATTTACATTAAAACAAGATGAACTCAATATGACATCAGAAGAAATAAAAATGATTCAGAAAAGTGAAAATAATTATTAAATGTTTTCAGATGTGTCTTTAGAGATATGTGAGTGGGTGTTGGACACACATAAAAAATCAATAGATTATAAAAGCTTCCATGAAATAAGAGTAATCAGAGTATATGAACAAATGTTGGCAAATTAAAAATATGATTACTGAACGTTAAAAAATTCAATGTATGGAATAGATAATCACAACAAATAAGGTTGAAGACTGGATAAATAGAGAAAATTTCTCATGAAAAAGAGCAAAAATGAAAAGAGATAGAAAATATGAGCTTGTGGAAGATAGAGCTAGTAAGGCAACATATATCTGACTCCTAGAAGCAGAAAATTGCAACAATAGAGGGGGAAAAATAATCAAAGGAATAAAGGTGGGTGGGAATCCCAGGGGTAAAGAAAGAGATAATTCGTAAGAATGAAAAGACCAGCTGGATGAACTACCTCACCCCTGCAATTCCAATACTTTCAGAGTCTGAAGCAGGATGATTGCTTGAGGCCAGGAGTTTGAGACCAGCCTGAGCAACATAGCAAGACCCTGTCTCCAAAAATTTTTTAAAACTCAGCCTGACACGATGGTGTATGCCTGTAGTCCCAGCTGCTGGACAGACTAAGGCAGAAGGATCCCATGAGACCAGGAATTCAAGGTTGCAGTGAACTATGATCATACCACTGCACTCCAGCCTGGGCAATAGAACAAGACCCTGTCTCTAAAACAAATACATAATAATAATGAAAAGACCTACCAAGTTAATGTGTGAACAGAAACAACACATATCTGAACAAATCTTGGTGAAATTTCAAAAATCCTAAAAATTATCATAAAGAAGGGAGGTTCTTACAGAGTAACAATATCAGAATGATAGCATACTTCTCAACAGCAATAAGGGAGCAATTCCTTCAAAGTTCTGAGGAAGATGTTTGAAATTAGAAATATATACTTAGCCAAACTGTCAATCAAAAGTGAAGTAAAAATAAAGACAGTTTTAGATATTCAAAGATTATTAAATGTTGCTCCCTTATGTTTCATATTTTTTAAAGTTCTGATGAAGGGCTCCAGTGAAACAAAATTGGAATATGACAAGAAAAATGAGATAAATATTTGAAAAAAAAATAGAATCTGAGCATGACCCAGAAAAAAAGCAAGCTTCAAAGAAATGAAGAGAGAAAACTCTGGTTTCTGTGGCTTAGGATCTTTTGAGTTATTTGGGACAACATTCCCTTCTCTTTGGATCCAATCTCTTCACATGGATAAGTTCTATAGATACTACTTTTTCTTGGTTAATAATTGCAATCCAATTTAACCCATGGATAAAGCATTACCAAAAACAATTGTAGTGACAACAGAACGTAAATATTTTAAAACTTGACAACATAAAAATAAGCGCAACAAAAATCTAGAACAAAGGGGAGATGCAGAAATAAACACAAATGTGCTACATAGTGGGAATTCTATACATAATGTCTAAATATAAGTCATCAGAGAATGGAGAATTTGTAAAGGTATAAAGCTAACCATTGGAATATCAATAAAAATCTCAAGAGATAAAGAAGGGGAGGGAAGGTGTACAATACTAACAATAACCAAATACCTCAAATTTCTGTAGCAGGATGTCAAAATATACTTTAAAATGTTGATATGTTAAAAAAACATAAAATTCTATGATTTATAATTTTAATTGTAGCCACCAAAAATCTAAAAGCAGAAACTTGAATTTCATAGGGATAAAATTGGGGTACAGGAGGGAAACAGACAAGATAAATGTTTACTTTTCATTTTAGACTCATGAGTAGTTTAAATAATTTTTTCTGTTTGGCATAGGCAGTTTGTACTTTAGTTTTTTAATTAATTCAAAAAATTATAAAGAAAAAACTAAGTTATATTCTCTCAGCTTATCAGCAAGTGGTGCCCCCAAAATGAGCTGGGTCCTTTTAGGTATTAGGAATTTAATATGGAAGCTGAAGCCAAGAACTAGTATCTGGGATTTGAAGGTCAAAACTTTTAGACATATGTAAAATCCACAACAGGGCCAGATCAAGACTAAAAAGACACGTAATTGATTAATAAACATAGAAAAGTCATTCATTTATACATGCATTCATTCACTCATTCATTCGTTTATTCCCTCTGACTCATTTTCCTACTTATAAATCATTCATTCTTTAATTGATTCACTTATTCAATGGTTTATCAGAAAACATAAGGCAGGCTCTCTGCCTTCAAGGAGTTTAAAAATCAAGCCAGAGGGAAGGCAATAACCTAATACACTGCTCTCGGAAAGCACTGAATCATGCTAAAAGATGGACATGGGCAAAAGTTTCATGAATGGAATAATAAATGTACTGGGCTTTGAAGAATGAATAAGCTCTGACTCGGAGGAGGAATTTGCTTCATTTTATATCTTCATACTTTTATTTTTAAGTTTTAGGCTACCCTTTGAGATATTGAGGATAAGGTCAGTGAGTAAGCTTTCTATAAACCAGAGCTGAGAATCCATAGATCTACCATCTCGCACTAGTCAGAATGGCAATTATTAAAAAGTCAAAAAATAACAGATGCTGGCGAGGTTGTGGACAAAAAGGATGCTTTTACATTGTGGGAGTGTAAATTAGTTCAACCATTGTGGAAGAAAGTTTAGCAATTCCTCAAAGACCTAGAGGCAAAAAATATCATTTGATCCAGCAATCCCAATACTGGGTACATACTCAAAGGAATAAAAAGCATTTTATTATGAAGATACATGCATGCATATGTTCACTGCAGCACTATTCACAATAGCAAAGGCACGGAGTCAACCTAAATGCCCATCAATAATAGACTAGATTAAAACAGGTGATACATATACACCATGAGATACTATGCAGTTATAAAGAGGAAAGGGATCATATGCTTTGCAGGGACATGAATGGAGCTGAAAGTCATTATCATCAGCAAACTAATGCAGGAACAGAAAACCAAATACCACATGTTCTTACTTACAAGTGGGAGCTGAATGATGAGAACACATGGACGCTTGACGGGGAACAACACACTGGGGTCTGTCAGAGGGCTGGGGTCAGGAGGAGGGAGGGCATCAGGAAGAATAGCTAATGGATGCTGGTCTTAATACCTAGGTAATGGGATGATCTGTGCAGCAAACCACCATAGTACTTGTTTACCTATGTAACAAATATGCACATCCTGCACAGGTACCCTTGAACTTAAAATAAAAGTTGAAAATAAAAAAAAAAAAAAGAATCCATACATAAATCCGCAATAGAGCAGGCAACTAGTCCACAGAAGAAAACAAGACCTTCTTCAACCACAGAGAAAGTTCCATCACCCCTTGGGGTACTTGTTTAAGCTGTGTCTGGGTCCTCCAAAGGGGATAAGTTGCCCTGAGTAAGATGACTGACCACCCCAGTTTTCCCAGGACTGTCCTGGTTTTAGCACTTAAAGTCTTGTGTTTCTAGCAGCCTGTCACTCTCCAGGAAACCAGGACAGTTGGTCACTCTAGAGTCAGCACTCAGTTTCTAACACTTCAAGACTTACTTCATTTGATTCACACCATGAGTTTACTGTGAGTCAAGATACTGGTATCCCTACTTTTCTGATGACAACATTGAGGCACGAAGGGGGTCCACTGATTGCTAAAGGCCACATACACAAAGAAAGTGGTAGAGCCAGGATTCAATCCCAGGTCTGTCTGCTTTTATCTAAAACTCTCTCTCTCCAACAACCTCACTCCATGCCCTGTGTTTCTTCACATAGACAGGCATGAGAACAGAGGTAGTGCATACTAAGGAACTCCAATTCTCCGTGTGCAGAAGTGACAGAAGGAGCAGGAGACCTTGAGCTCACTGGCACCCTGCTCCAACCCAGTGAGCCAGGCAGCACAGTTATGAGGATAAGGCAATATCTACATTTAGCATTCAAGAGCCACAGAACTGCTTGCAGGGTCTGATGAAATGCCATTTAATTAGACAGGCACTCAATAATTTTTCTGTAAATTGAGACAACATGGTTCCTTATTTTCTACAGCACACAGAGTATATCATTCCTGGATAGTCATAATAGTAATAATAATAATAATGCACCACTTGGGCACAGTAGGATTTTTTTTAACAAAAACTTTGCAATACCTTGTCAAGGATGTTGAAGATTATGTATCTATCAAGTACAAAGAGGAAACTTCTGAGGCCTATTCCAACCCTAAAAGATGACAGTTATCAGACTCAGAGAAAATGTACCCATATTCCAGGATAAAATCTTTACATATGTGTACTCTACTAGGGATCTTTTTTTTTTTTACGTATAGATTATATAAAAGAGAAAGAGAAGAGATCTGGGAGAAAATGAGATAAGAGGGGAAAGGAGAGGGTGACAGAAATAATGAAAGAGGTAGATAAAAGAAGGAATGAAAGAAAAAGAAGAGCTAGACCTGCATGATGAGAAACTAGAACAGATAAATGAAAAACGACAGTACAGAAAGTCATGGAGTGCTCAATTAATTAGTTATTGTCCATTTCCTTGAGAGACCTCTAACAAATCTGTCCTTGTCAGTGACAGGAAATCTTTTTGAATTCTTTGTAAAAGGATATTAATGGCTGCTGCAAGCTTCAGCACCCCTCCACTGTGATGCTGTGATGCAGGGAGGTTGTAGGAGTTCCTCTAGGTCATACCAGGAGCCAGCCTTGGTACAGGAGCAACTCCTCTCATGTGCACACAAAGAGTACTCCTCCAGCCCACAGACTGCCAACCCTCTATCCTTGACTGGTACATGGGAGGCTGACATTTAATACCCTGGGGATATAGATGTTTGAAAGCTGGTTATTGTAACAAAGGAAGCCATCCAAACTCTGCAAGACCAAATGGATCAGATAAAGCTGACACAGAGATAAATCTGTTTTACATCCATTCTTGCACAAGTTTTGCTAATCTATGTAGTTATAGCTTTCCCACTGAAGGGGAAAAAAATAGCCCACCACATGTCGGCAAGTCCACATCGCATTCCTATTTTTAATCTCCAAGGTATAACATTCTGGGCAAAGACCATTTTTATGCTGACTTTTGCATGAACTCCATTCATGTAGAATGACACAGGAAGAAAATAAAAAAGGAGGATGAGAGAGTATAGGGAGGGGAAAAAAGAGAGAGAGAGAAGGGGAGAGAATTTCTTCTTGAATGGCTGTGTAAATGCAGATTTTGTTTTAAATGAATGAATTCTGCTCCATCAATGACACAGGATCGCTTCTCTCCCAGGCAGTCAGACATCTACTCTTCATTAGCCAGTATTTATGCTGCCAGATTGGACTTTCATATGGGAGCCTGAAGCAGGAATAGTGCAGATGGCAGGAAAGCTCTCATGAGATTGATAACGATGAAGAAAGATGCCACATTAAGTCAGAAGGTGCCACTGTTAACATCCCAGCTCGGAGGAGAATATTTCTAGCTAGCACTCCCCTCCAAGGTCTGTTTCTCTTCCAGCTTCAACTAAAATTCATCCCCCTCCCCAAAAGCTCTCTGCCCTACTCACACTCTTTCTGGCAAGTAAGGGATACTTTGGATTTCCTCTCCTTTGTGTTTCAACTCTTTCTGCCTCAGGTACTTAACCTTTGCTTTCCAAAGGTGGCTGAGATCCTAGCTGTGGAGAGGAGCTGGAGGGAGCGGGGAGGAAGGGAGAAGGCATTTTAGTCCATGTTTGCTCTAACAAAGGAACCACTATATAAGAAGTTCCGAGCAGGAAACCTGAATAGTATTTATTGTTTCAATTCAGGCCCTCATTGCATCTGCTGCCTTTCAAAGACAGACGCTGTGTTCATAAAACCAGAGCCCTGCCTCAAAACCTTCGAGAAAGGGCAATCTCCAGGGTGTACGACTGACAGAAAGTCAACACCACTGGAGGATCTGCAGTGCCAGGCATTTGCTGCTAGGATGGAGGAGCAGAGCCTCCTAACTTTCGACTTGCAAAGGAGGGACGGAGACTCATTTATACCTTCAGTTGCTGGCTAAACTAGTTGGTTCCTCATTCAAGGAAAACACAGGTCCTCATCTGTGAAGTCTGAGTCTTTCCACTGCAGAGTAGAAGAATCCACTATGTTTCAGCAAAAAAAAAGGAACAACATCTTGTTCTGATTTTTAATCTCCATGGTCCTCGTTACTGATTTTATCTGGCCAGTGACAAAGACTCTCTTTTGTGACCAAACTTGGGTCAGGCTCCTCTGAATCCTTTCTGACTAGGACAACATTGGACTTCCCTCTCTCTCCTTTGGAATCCAGTTTGAGAAGGAATCCTGCTAAGTCAGTCACTGAAAATCCCCACCCTTTGTTTCTGACCACCCTCTACATCTTATCACCCTGGTCTGCCTTCAACAAGAATTCTACTGAGTCAGTCTAGCAAGAATCCCCCTAATCCCCCCTGTTTTCCTTTTAGCAATTTTCCATCTACCGGCCCCCACCCTGCTCCTCGGTTATAAATCCCCACTTGTCTTTGTCGGAGTCGGAGTCCAGCTCAGTCTCTCTCCCCTACTGCAAGACCCTGTTCCAGTGGGCCCTATGCCCATCACCATAGCCCCACTTGAATAATGTCTGCCTTACCATCTTGAACAAGTGCCATGAAGAATTTTTTCTTTCACACCACAAATACATCTTTGGCATTAAAGCAGGGAATGAGTTTTCTGGTTTCTTCTGACATCCCAGCCTACCTGGATGGCAACCTGACACCAGGCCAGGAAGGAGAGTAGATGAAAAGTTCTTCAGCCCTCAGTGCAATCAGATAGGGAGAGCATTTCCCTTGTTCAGAAACAGTCACCCAGAAAACAAACCAACAGACAAAATGTGATATAATGAGACTTGCAAACTTAGCAACTTTGGAAAATTTGGCTGCTTTCACGCAACCTGAGTTATATACTATCAGAGTCCATCCTAGAAAAAGTAGGCTGGAAAACAAAGGGAGGCCACATCAAGGGCCCCTGTGCAGCAATCACAAAATCATGTTGGTGTGTAAGCATTTAATTAGCTTCCCAGGTTTACAGGAGCTCCAGTCAATTTAAGACACTCTAGGTAGCTCCTCCTAGACCATGCTGGCCCTCTTGGAAGCCTGGACTTAGAATGCCTACCACCAGGGAAGGGTATTCGGAGAATCTTAATTGAAGGAAATTCCTATTTTTATGTCTATATGATGTACCATCAGCATTTCCTCCCCCACAAAAATACACAGAGGGGCAACTAGTCCAAATAACTGGTTTAAATCTGTGAATTACAGCACTGCTTCAAGGAACTTTTAAGGTCGTTTTGTGTCTACAGAAAAGTTAGATGGCATCATAAAATTTTTAGAGCTAATGTAATCTTTATACAGTGGATTCATCTCCACTGATGAGATGTGTCTGAGGCACTACCTCTCTCTCCCTTTCTTTTGACTGTCCTTGAGTCCTGAGAAAGAATTACTGCTCCAGTAATACTCATGCCATGACTGCACAAATACATCTTCCACCCTTCAGGATGCAAGATCTCAGATCCCAGGTCTTCATTTTACTTTTCTCTACCAAGGGAAGGGTTGGCTAAACTTGGTTAATTTTCAGAGTTGGTTGCATTTCAGCTGTGGAGTCTAATCCTCTCTTACATCTCCTGTGTGTATTTCTTCTCGGCACTTCGGTCTTTAGTGACCTTCTCATACATTTCATTAAATGCCCTCCACCTTGGTAAATTACAGTACTTTGAACCCTTGGAGTTTAGCATATAAAAAAGCAAGCGCCTCTATATACTGCCCTGGGATAAGGTGTGATGAAAATCCCATGCAAGCTGAACTGTACTTCCTAATCAAATGGGTGTAACAGATGGCTGTTGGAGCGAACCATCACAATGGAAATATCTGCAGTTCTCATGGTAACGGAATCTGCCAGGTCTGAGGGATTTGCTGTTTTTCAGGACATCTGAGCTGCAATCTCTTTCGAGCTGTCTAGCAGTCTCCGTCTCGCTCTCTCTCACTCTCTCAGCATGATGGAGATAGAGTTGAAAGGTGGAGCTCGATTTTGCATTCCAGCTGTGATTAAAGACACAGGCACACATCCTGGGAGATAATACGCTGCATATTCATTATGCTATCTAGAACCTCTTTAGCTACCGGGACACGACTGTCATGCAATTACAATATGCCTTCTTCAGGAGTAAAGGGGGGTTGGGATGAAGAAGATCAGAGAACGACAGTGAGGGAAAATACGAGGAATTAAGATGCATGAGACGTACCTTGTAATAAAGATATGGAGCAATATTAAAACGAGCAGTTGTTTCCATTTCATGGCAACATGTCAAGATGACTTAACATAGCAGGATAAAACATCTGGCCTGGGGAAAAAAATACATGATGTCAAATTTCCAAATCACAATGTAGACTATGTGGAAGAAAAACAACAGATAAGCAACTGTGTACCTTCCCAATAAGTGAAAGCATGTGGAAGATTTCTTTATACTCTGCCATCAGAAAAGAGATCCATCTCATAAGGTGGAGGTTAGCATATAGACACTGAGCTTTTATTATAAATCTAAGGTTTGGGCTTAAACCCACAGGACTGCCTTAGAAAAGGGTTTTTTATTATTTTTTTTTCCTCATGCTATTCATAACCTTCTGATTTCACAGAAGTGCTCGGAAAGGGGAAAATAATCAGTCACAATTCTATTTTATTAAAGTCTTTTCCTCCAAATCCCTATCGATTTAAAGAAATAAGGAAAAGTATACTGTCTTCTTTGCTATAGTACCTCCTAGAAAACACACACACACACACACACACACACACACACACACACACGCACGCACAGGGTTGATTCACAGCTGCCTGGTCCCTTGGGTATTTGAGCTTGAAGATCAGACAACATATAAGAATTCAGCCATGACTCAAAATGGAAACAAAGAAGACCATTCTTAGAAAACCCAGCAACGTGAAATGAAAAACTACAGGCTGTAGGCCGGAGCCCCTAGCATGCTTACCACCCCCCACCCATTGTCCTTGAGGGCACTACTGTTAAATACATATGACAGCCAAAGAGATGAGGAGAATAGTTTCCAGAAAGCAATGATTGGATCTCCCTTTTCATGAGGTAGAATAGGCAGGACTATGTAAGCCTGTAAAGTAGCTCTTGAGAACAGGCCCTGGGAGGCAGCATTGTCTCCCTCTCATACGGCGCCTGAAGAACATATTATATTATATAACCTTTCTCCAAAGCCCGCCCTGCTTTGACTGGGACCCTCTTCCTTTAGAAGCCTGCTAATAACAACTTGTGGATGACAAGCTCTGTCTTAACAAGCCGGATTAGTTAGTTTAAAGCAATGAACTGAGGCCATTTGTGCAGATGCTAATCAAAAAAAGAAAAAGGAAAAAATTAGAAAAGACCCATGAGCCTCCATCTCTTGTAAGTACAATATAGATAAAGAGGAGTGCGTCCCAGGGCCACATCTGTGAGCTGACCTCTAAGGCACACAAAGGTCTCCGGGGCTGTGGGGTTATAAAAGGAGGGAAGAGGGTTTGTATGGGGCCAGTAGCAGACAAGAGTGGCTCTGAAGGGGCAGTTATCGGAGGACTGTCTGAAGCTTTTTTTCCCCCTTGGAAATTGTTCTTTATTTGTCTCTTATGAGGACTTTGCTTTTGCTTCACAGACACTTCCCAGCTCCTAGCACGGAGCCTGGCACATAGTATAGGCGCAGATTAAATATTTGATGGATAAAAGATTAAATGGATAAGGAAAGATTCAAAAATGTTCAAATGTCAAGAACAAACATACAAATCCCACAAATATATGACTGACCTCTCCTTCCTCTCTTCACCAAGAACAAAACTAAAATTATATTAAACACAACAATCAGCACATTTAGAAAGACATTCTGTATCTTTGAAGATCAATGGCCAGATTGGTTATTAACATTCAACCATGACTGGCACTTTAAAATATATACACAAAAAGGAAAGCTACTCAGCAGATGATTCAGATTTAGAATATTGCAGAAAATTTAAGTCCATTTTAAAAAAAGTAATCTGTCATTTCATCGGCTTCTCTGAGAGGTCACTTTTTTCTACACCACAACTAGGAAAACTGACTCCTGAAGGAAGGAATGTTTGGTTTCCTTTCAAATATTCTGAGAATAACATAATATGCACTCTATTACATTTCAAATCTGAGTATGTAATCAGTGTGAGAGAGAAAAACAAATTACTAGAGAGAATACTAGCTCTCACATTCCAGAGGCTGAAACACACACACATACGCACACACGCACACACACACACACACACACACACACACACATACAGCTTCTATTGGCTCCTTAAATTTTAACTGCCTTCAGAGTACTATTTTTTTAGGAATTCTCTAAGCCAAATGTTTGCTGGAATGCTAACCTCCTTAGAAGCTCAGGATGTCCTGCTGAGATCATTCAGTTAGAAGACATTCAACTGCCCTAAAAGTTAGAGAAGGGTAAGTTTGAGAATTGGAAAGACTCTTAAAGAGCAAAACATAAAAGCTGCCTCTCTGAGTAACACTCATCTCTAACCCTCATAACAAATAATATTTTTGTACAAGAAGGTTGTAGTCAAACTCAAGAAGATACAGATATAACTCCAATGTTCCTTCTATAATTTACAGATAGAAAAGTACGCTCTTCATATATATTCAGCTCATACTGTCTCTCAGCCACAGAGATTCTTTTGTTTTACTGTCAATAATTATCTCATTTTCTCATGTCCCTGCCACCTTGAGCTGAGGAATAGGATCTAACCATGGTGTTGCTGCTTCCAATAAGTTTTAGGATCCAGTTTGTTTTAGACCTCACCTAATTCTCTGGAGTGTTCAAAGCCCAGGTAGGACAATCAGATCTGTCCTTTCAAAGGAGCTCTTTTATTACCAACCTTCTCTAGAATAGATCCCCAAGAATTGAACTAGAATATTTTGTTGTAGTTGAGTTCATCAAACCTGAGTAGGAAACCCACTACACACACACACACACACACACACACATTCAAGATTCCGGGGGAATATAAAATAAGTCAATACCTTCTTGTCCTGAGAGTTTACAATCAAGCTGGGACAGTTAAGAGAAGATTACTAATGGTTATAATATCAGGCAGGACAAAAGAAGTATAATCCGAGTACCTCGCAGAGGCAAAGAAGGGTTGATAAAGTGCTCTATGAAAAATTGAAAATTTGATGAGATTTGAAGGATTATATGTAAGATTTCAACAGACTAAAAGAAAGGCATGAACAAAGACATTCCAAAAGGCGGAAATGACATGAACACAGAGGCAGTAAAGTGTTAAGAAGAGTTTGGGCACACTGAAGAGACTTGTTTGACTAAGCAGAGCAAAGTAGAAGAAAACAAAGCTGTGGTCATATGAGAGGAAATAATATCTAATCCCAGGAGCATATGGGAGTTGCTGACCATTATTGAGCAAAAAAAAACATTTTATTTGGGAACTCCAGCTTCACTAGATTCACAAAACACAACACTTTTTCAGGATTCCAAGGATGCCCCAGGCAAGCAACAGTCCCAAGGGTGCATTACCAGCAGAAAATCCAGGGGGGTCCCAATTTACACGGAGCACCTTTTTGCCCACTGCAAGTATGACCTTTTAAGAGTCAAAACAGCAAGATGTAAAACCTGTCCTGTTCTGCATGTCTTTGGAAATAAATAAACCTTTTCTATTTCAATACTTGGCATCGTGACAAGACCTAAGAGGAACTAGAGAGATAATTAATAAGGGCATGAGGGGAAAGTGCAATTAAAAATGGCAAAGACTACTTCGTAAATAAGTGCTTCATACTGCGAAAGATTATTACTGCGATCTCCAGCTTCAAACTGAAATCAAATCACTCTGAATGGATAATTTGAACATTATTAGGGGGGAAAAAGCCATCATGGTTCCTAGCCTCTAAATTACAGGAGAAACAAGATTTTATTCTGACTTCACCTTTCTGTCAGTTTAAATCAACAAAATAATCACAGTTTAGTCCCAGTTGGCATAACTCTCCATAACCTCAAGTTTTAACGTTCTTCAGTTTCTTAACCAGAAGAGGAAGTTAGATTGAGAATGCCTCAAGAAGAATCTTTTCCAGGGAACTATTAAAAAAAAAAGTCTCCTAGGAAACAAGAAAGGCAAACTCCCTTTATCTGAATAAGAGCCTTTGTTGGAAATAAAATCTAGCTGGAGCAAATCTGAAAGCACAAACCCCACCAGGCTTGGAGATGTTTGAACCTCTGTCCCAGTTTACAGAGCCCACTTAAAGTACTGATGTTTCCCATCTAAAAAGCAGTCCATGTGTTTGTCACTCTTAGGAGAACTTTTGGCTTCTGCCTTTTGAATGGAATGATTCAAAACTGTATCGTTTCCTGCAATTTAATTTCATAGCTAAATGCAAAGTATAGGAAGATAAGGTCACAGGGATATGGATCTATCTCCAGAAAGTGATCACACTCCCTGGGCTGCCGTAAGTGGAGATTTAATTGGATACAGTAGGTTTTGCTATGATTGTAACATGGAGATAAATTATTTTTAAAATGGCCAATGACCATTGGCAGCTCAGCAGGAATAGGGGTCAGAGAAGAGTACGGCTTCCAATTATGGCTTGAGATAGAAAGAATTGCTTACATCAATTTCAGATGGTTGTGAATAGCATCATTATTTTGTAATCATCATCATTATTGTCGTCATCATCATCATCCTGACTTATATTTTTTAGTAATCTTAGGAACAATGACTAGAGGGGAATACTGTATACTGTTCATTCTCTCTTTACCTTAGGTTGAGGAGGTCCACTAAAATAAAAATGGGATGAATAACTCCTATCATTCCTGCACAAAATAATTGACCCAAATTCCTTTAAGTCAGAAGTCAACAAATTATACCTGCAGTCCAAATCTAGCACTCTGCCTCTGTTTGTAAATAAGGCTTTATTGGAACACAGCCATACTTATTCATTTATGTATTGTCTATAGCTGCCTTTACAATACAATGACAAAGTTCAGTAGTTAATGATAGAGACCATGTGGCCTGCAAAGGTTGAAATATTTATTCTCTAGCTCCTCACTTTGCTAACCCCTTCTCTATCTTCATCATCAGTATCATAATCATCCCTTCCACTGTAGAAGTCATGGAGTATCTGAAGGTTTTAACACATCTTGTTTGATAACACCTTTCTGATTGATGAAGATGGAGACAATTGCAGTGCCCACAGACATCTCAGACTAGTGTCACTTCTCTATGAGAGATTCAGACCTGACATTCCCTTCATCATGGGACACTCAGGATAAGGACATCACTTTGTATGTAGAGTGAGGGCCAGTGCTCCTGTTTGTCAGTAAGACTGAGAGGCATTAGGCTTGATCTATGGACTGGGGCGATTCATCAGGAAATGACAGTGAGGGCTGTTAAACTTGGAAACTGCTTATTAAACCACCTTGTGTGTAATACATTTGTAACTGCACATATTCTCATCCATCTGGAGTGGAAATATGTAAACGAAGAAACATCAAAGTTGAGTATTAACCTGATTGGACTTTTATAAACTGCAGTAGCAGAATAAAATATTGGAAATAATTTAAAGCCTAGATGACCTTAGTTCAAATCCGGACACCCATTAGCTATGAACATTCGGACAAATTTCTTACCCTCTCGAAACTTCCATTTCTTAATCTGCAAAATAGAAATGTTAATAGATAACATTTATTTTTCAGGGTTGTTGCAGGAATTAAATAAGGTAATTCCTGAATAATGCCCAACACAGCGCAGTAGATGCTCAAAATGGCAATGGCAATGACTACTGTATTTGGCTTTAACTAAGAAGACAGTAGAATCCTTTCCTAAGAAAGACTGATTTCAATGCTCTTAGTAAATTGGGCTAATATTCTTAAAAGTTATTTAATTTGGTATTCAACTTGTTTTTAATATTATACTTAAAATATTATAGCTTGCATTTTTACATCACTTCGACTCCCAAAGCTTTTTCAAATGAACCCAACATTTCTGTGCCTGAAGTATGCTATAAGGATCAGGTATTTGTCCATTTAACAGATAAAGAAAATAAAGTTATACCTAGATTCCTACAGTAAATGAATTAAGCTAAGGCTCTGGCTGTAGTGCCTCATGGCTCAAGCACTTAGTACTACCCTGGATGTTATGTAATAGTCTTTTAAAAGTCAACTCTAACATCCTGGGGAAGGCAGGGATCCCAGTCAGAAAGCTACACTATAAGGAATGAAAGCCAGGGCAGAAGATGCTGAGAAAGAAGGCAAGACACTCAAGAAAGCAAGAATCTAACAGAAAGATGATGCTTCAGAATTCAGACAAATACAGCAGTGTGCCTTTAAAAAGGACCATGTCTATACTTCTATATTGCTTTCTATCTGAAGCTAAGCCAGAGGGATGTACATAGTGAGATCTTTGTCTCATTTCAGGAAGGATACAAGATAAAGATTCTGTGCCAGTAATCTTCCTTGGATTAATGGTTTCTCTTTTATCTGCTGTATTTCTGCTCAGATGTCTTTTCTCTGAATGAGTCAGAGGAATGCAAATGCTGGGTGCAGTCCGCCTGAAATATTTAAATCTAGTTTTGCAATGTTTTGCAGGTTTGGAGGGAAAAATTACACACACACACTTACATATGATGAAGGAATGGCAGATGAGAATTACAGACACATCAGCCAGCAATACAAAAATGTGGTATTTCAATTTGACAACAAATTCATTTTCCTTTTTTCATGTCTTTGTTTCCCCAGATCAACATTTAGATGCTTGATGTGAGTGGAAAGAATCTGCAAATTCTTTTGTGAGACTCGGAATCTCATCAAGAATGTATCTGACTACATGGGAAACTGATTTTATTTTGGCTTCTAAATGACAAGCCTTCATTAAGCAAGGAGCATCTCTCCCTAGAAACAGCATTCTCTATACCCTGATAGAAGGTGAGACATGTTGGATGGTTGGGCATGATTTGTGTTCATTTTCCTGATTCTTCCTTTTACTGATATACTCTGAACTCTTTATTCTTGCATTCAGTCATAGACTTGCAGGCAGAGTCTCACTATTGTGACTAAGAGGGCTTCCTCTAAAAGGAAACCTGAAAGGCATTAATATTCAAATCCTCTGGCTTGGTCTGCAGTGGCCTGATGGAGCTCGCACAGAGCCCCTATGCTGCAAGGGAACAAATCTTGGGAAATACAGCTGAGTAAATTGGAATTTAGCTTCTCTCCCCATGCGCAGTACTTAACATGAAACCCTTATAATGAAAGGTCTCTTCCAAAGGCTTTTATTGCTGCAAGAAAGAGTTCCTACAATGTGAACCCAAGGACAGAAGGAGGCTTTCTTATTTTCCTTTCCACCTCACGTGAAAGAATAATCTCATGCCTTTAGGACAAAGCCTTCTTTAGACAACAAAGTGAAATGCCTTCAACATCCATGAACATCTCCCAACATCAATGAGACTGCTATTCATAGATGAAAAAGGAAGAAGAAAAGTGTTGGGCATGAACAATTGGTCAACACGGCATTACCCTCAAAAACCAGAAAGTCAGAATTTGAAATGTATAACATCTCTCACTCCTATTAAATCAGGATTGATGAGTTCCCAGGGTTGTTTAACATCCTTTGACTTTACTTAAATGATTTATAACTCTTATCTATGCTGTGGTTTCTAAATTTTCTCCAAGCATGCACCTGAACTAAGTCTGGGGAAGGCCTGACACAAGTATACAAAATCATACTTCTTTTTTTCAAGCAGTTTTTGTAAATTGGTCTGTGAAATTTTACTCAGTATTAACTAAGCACCTAGAATGTGCCAGGCACTGTGCTAGATACTGGGGCACAGATATGAGTAAGATGCAGTCCTGGCCCTCAGAGAGCACATGCCTGGTAGAGAGAGAGACAAACTAGTATCTGCAATGTCATACAAGTGCCAGAGCAGAGATGAGTGTAAAAGAAGGACCAATCAGGAGGGCAGATATATACATATGTGTGTGTGTGTGTGTGTGTGTGTGTGTGTGTGTGTGTGTGTGTGTCACCCAGGAGACTATTTCAGAAGGTTACATGTTATAAGAAAAATCAGACTTCAGCCTCTCCAAATGAGATTTCAGTGGCATCAGCCTCTGCCTGGCAGTCATCTCTCCAACTCATTCCCCTTCTAAAAAACCATTCAAACAATAAAATACTCTGAGATCTCTGGCAGCTGCAGACATGAATACAGGTCTTCTTTGGACCCCATTTAGTCTGTCAGCAGACTATCCGTTGTAGGCATCAAAATGAGAAGCAGCAGAACAGGGTACCCAAGTCATAGGCAGGGACAGTCTGTCTCAAAGAGGCTCAACCAAATTTCTGTCTAGCATGGAGATACATCCTGCCAGTACAGAAATGCAAAACACACTGTGAAACAACTAGCCATTTGTATTTGCATTCCCTTGGAAGGGTTCCAAGTGCTTCTGCCATCCTTTGTGTATTCTCCAGAACCGAAGAATGATCAAGGTATATGTTAGAGTCTCAATCTGAGTGGCTACAGCTTACCCACTGAGTCCTCTTAGGGAATCCAAATGTGATACACCAAAATGCCTTTGATCTCTTGACACCAGAATTTAATGCATCATCTAAGCTACAAAGAGAAAGATTTTACAGCTCTACAAATATCCCAGCCAAAAATCTGTAGAGATTTTATATCTATACAAATATACCTTCTTTGGCTAGAATAGCATGTTGCTGAGAAGGGTTTTTAGGATGCTGGTTTAAATGAGATGGAGGCTAATTTATTCTCTGAAATGATATTGAAGCTCTGCATCACACAATGTAAAAAATGACTAAGTCCACTCATGCATCAGCCAGAATAATTCTGGCAAAGTTGATGCTGACAGCATTAAAAAAAAATGATGGAGGAGTCTGGCCTTATTGTTGTCATTTTAATTGTCACTATGAGTGACGAAAAATGCATTTCCTTCTCCAGCATACATATCTCTCAGTTCTGTAAATACCTTAACTGGGTCTGTGTCACTCAAGGGTATGATTAAAAAATAAAAAGGAAAGGAAGTGTATATGTAAAGATGTGAGACAAAGAGGGAGTGTGGAGAGGAAGAGTAAGAAAGAAGGGGAGAAGAAGGAGACAGACAAAGAAAGAAAGAGCCAAGTGAGCAATAGAATCTGAGAGAGGGAATGAGATAAAGATAGAGAAAAAATGATATACAAACAAGGATTGTTTTGGATGGCTCTTCCTGAATATCAAACAAAGGGTGCTGTTAGTAATCTCATGAAAAAGGCTAGTTTTTTGCATCAAATCAAGAAACCTGCAATGTTTCCAAGATCTACTCAGAGTTTTCAGGCAAGACAGCCCAGAATTTCTTGTTAAAAGCTTAAGGGCTCAATTTATGCTAAGCATTCAAGGAAATGTCTCATCCAAACAGAATATCATTTTTCATATTAAAGAAGCAAACCAATCTCAGAGCATAAATGTTATTATTCACAGTCGCAAAGGAAAATGGCATTTACATTCTCTTCTTTCATAGGGAAGGAAGAAGGAGATTCTCCCTTCTTTGGGGCCAGAAGACAGCTCAGAAATCCTATTTCTCCTCCTGAAAGAAATACATTTTTTTTCCTCAACCCCAATAGGTGAGTCCACAAGCCTCCCCCATGGCATTGATTGCTTTGATGGGTCAGTGTACAGTATGCCAGTGTACAGTATGCGCATGTTGCTTTTAAACATATGTTTGGGGGGAAGAATCAAAGCTAATTTCAGTGTGTGAAAAGCTAGCAGATTCCATTAGTGATTGTGACTTTACTTCAAAGTGATAAGGCTGCTGGATGCAGGTTCTCAGAACTGAATGTCCAAATGGGAATTTATGATGTAGAACTTCAGTTTTATCAACTATTGGAGTCAACATACATACAAAAGAAGAAATACTACATTTTTCCCCTAGCAGAAATTTTAAGGTTAATGCAGTGAATCTGTTATGCTTTTTTTCATTTTCTCCATAGTTTTTTCCTCTTGAAAACTTGTTACAGTGGGGAGTAGGGCCACTGGAATCACCATTTCTGGTTTTCATATTGATGGATCTGAAAGAACGCACGTTACATTACCCCCCTCCCATAGCCTCTTCTACAGATGACCATGGCAAACTGCCAGAAATAATTCAAATGGGATTAGACTACAGCCCTGAACTCTCCTTACAACATAGATATCTGGTAGTACTCTTAATTATCTTGGTGTCAAATCCCAGCAAGTCATCTCCCAGCTTTATGGATAACAACCCCAACTAGAAATTTGAAGAGAACATGGTCATTGATACTCAATGGATATTACTACATTCAAAACACAACAAATCCATAAATGTACATACATAGACAACTCATATGTCCAAAAGAAAAAAAAAGATATGTACTGCTAAATCCTCAAAATAGAGCATAATTTTTAAAGAAAGTTTGTTATAAAACAACATTTGGTATTTCCCCTATAAAACTGAGTGGTCTCCATTTAATGAGACATGATTTTTTTTTTTTACAAGATTTACCTTACTCAGGATATGAAGAGTTAATAACTGGGTCCACCAGTTTCATAAGAAAAGAAGTCAGGACTCATGCCAGTTTAACATCATTTCAGGCAGCGTAATAATACCCTTCCCTGTTCTGTGTTCAGGAAAGGGAAAACAGAGACATTGAGAGTGATACTGGAGTCCTTCCTTGTTTTATTTGGCCACAGTTCCTCAGCAGCTATTGTTTCCTGTGTGTTCAAGCACAAGTTGCTATAATCAATGGAAGAAAATGTAAAGACAAAGAGTGGCATGAGAGATAACTAAATTCTACTGAGTGCCTACCGTGTGTCAGGCACAGTTGATTATCTGTTTCAGTTCTTATAGATATCTTGTGAAGTACATTCGCATTCAAATACCCATTTTACAGATGATGAAACTGAAACTCTAACACTTGCCCAGGATGGTATAGCTGGTAGTCGGTGTAATAGCAAATAAACTCAGATCCATCCCATCTGATTCTAAATCCCATGTTCCAGAAGACTATACAGCAATGGTGTTCAAACTGTTCGTCAGTGTTTTAGGGGTTCTGTCAATGTTTCATTTAAACTGTTTTCCTCAAAATACATTTTAAAATATCTTTTAAAAATATAATTTTTAAAAGGTACATTCAGCCGGGCATGGTGGCTCACACCTGTAATCCCAGCACTTTGGGAGGCAAAGGTGGGTGGATCACCTGAGGTCAGGAGTTCTAGACCAGCCTGGCCAACATGGAGAAACCCTGTCTCTACTAAAAAATACAAAAAATTAGCTGAGCGTGGTGGTGGGCACCTGTAATCCCAACTACTCAGAAGGCTGAGGCAGGAGAATCACTTGAACCTGAGAGGCAGAGGTTGCGGTGAGCTAAGATCACACCATTGCACTCCAACCTGGGCAAGATGGGCAGGACTCCATCTCAAAATAAATAAATAAATAAATAAATAAATAAATAAATAAATAAATAAAGACAGACAGACAAAGAAAAAAGGTACATTCAAGTGTCCTGTATTCAATGTTCCTTTTGGAGACTACCAGGATATTAACTTGTTTCCTCACTGACTGTGTAAAATACTGCTTTTACAACATTCAACATTTCATATGTTGAATTTTGCATAGAATTTGCATAGGCTAAAAGACAAGTGTGAAAATCCTTGCTCTAGGGCATGCATTCTCAGTAGGGGCCAATATAACTACCAAGGGGATGAAATTTGGTTCTTGAAGGCCAAAAACCTTAGATATTATCATGGTTTGCTCCCTGCTTCCCAAAGGTCATAGTACATAAAGAGGTATCCAGTATTTCTGTGGGATTAAAATTTCACAGGGGAGGGGATTAGCAAAAAAAATGTCTTAAAAGGCTGTTTATGAGGGAGATAATGAAAAAAAGGTTGAGAAACACTGCTCTAGAGTATTAAGAATTTCAGGGAATTTGAAACAGAGAAGAAGGATAGCTTGGTCCTCACTAGGCCTGAGCAGCCCACCTACTTGCATTATAATCCTTTGGGGAGTTCTCCTTGGATGCTGTCCATTGTTAACAAGCCTGGCTTGTTTGGAACCTTAGAATTTTCTATCTGTAAAATGGTTTTACAAGCTCCAATCCTTCTGTTTCTGAGATGAGATTTAGCAACCTGAGCCAGGCCCCTCATCATATAGAAGGAAAAAGTGAGGTCTGGAAAAGCAAAGCATTTGCCCAAGGACATAGAACTGTTGGTGCCAATTGAAACTTAAACCTAGAACAGTACCTTACATAGGGTAGGTGCTCAAAAAGTCTTTTGTCAGATGAGTGAGTAAAGGGACAAATGACTTCAATTTAACCAGGAGATTTAACTGGGAAGATCGGATATAAGAATATTTTAAACCAACTCTATGCCACTAACTGACAGGGAGAAAGAGGGGAAAAAGAAAACCACTGACTAAATAAATTTCCCCAGTGGTTAGGCCTCTAGGAGTCACGTCACACATCATAGCCCCAGCTGAAACAGAACAGTACTGGGAGACAATGCAAGTGAGTTCTTCCTCTGGCTGACCCAACCACAGATCTTTCCTTTGTTTGTTTGTTTTCCTTTCTTTAAAGCTCTTACAATACTCCTAGCATAGTACCATCTGCTGAAGCGGGATGAACAGGTACCTTTAAAATGATGATAGCTCTGGGAAATGATAATCACTAGGTCATAGAAAGCTGCACTGCAGTGTATAAATAAGATAAGTAAAAGTGCTGAGGACTGCATGTTTGCTTTAATAAAATGTGTTTTCCCTTTTTGTGGAGAATGCCTTTCTCAAATGCCTGGGGAGAGAAGCTGAACTATAGACCAGAAACATGCAGACGGTTCCAGAATCTGGCAATGAGGGTGGGATCAGAGGGGAAAAGGATGAAATATTACCTACTGAGACACAAAAGGAAAAGGGTTGGACCAGAGCCTTTGTGTTGAATTGCTGAAGCAATGGAATGAGATAAGAACTTCCAGGTCTAATTCCAAAGCTCCCTTTGGTAGAGGCAATATGGTGCAGTGAAAAGAGCAAGGGTTTGGGTTACAGCACAGCTCTCAACTAACTATGTGACCTTAGGAAACTCAGTCTTTCTGAATCTTGATTTTCTCATACATAAAAAGGAGATAATATTTTACAGGTATATCGCAAGGTTTAAATTAGAGAATATATGTAAACCACCAACCATAATGCCTGATATACCTTGTGTTTAATAAATGGCACTGGTGATGATGCAGTGATGAGGATGCAGATACGCAGATGATGATGACAATGAAGATGATCCACAGGCCTTCTCTAGACAGTAGCTGCATGTACACACTGAGTCCTGAAGATCATCAGTGGCTTAGAAGTTAACATGCCCTGTGAGACATGCTATTGGAAAGTGTAATTCATAGAGCGAGAATTCCCTTTGCGAAGGGTTTCAGTGAGTAAGAACGAAATCTAAAAAGATGTGCAGCTTCTGAATTTTTGCATACTGTCTTACTTGGGCTTTCCGCAAATCCAAAATATTTTCACTGACATTTTCCACATTTTATTCCCATACCAGCAATGTAAGGTTGCCAGCGTACATACTAGATGCCCATTTGACAGATGAGAAAACCTGAGGCCTCAGGAAGTTTAAACCATTTAGTTACTAGCACAGCCTTGTACAGTGAGAAATGGTACCTGGACTGAAAGCCTGGTTGTCTGCTTGCTATTCTAATGGTACAACATGCCAATTACTTTAAAAATTTCTACCTAGAAAGAAATGTGGAACACATGCAGGTCTGGTGCAGGTGCAGGTATGCCCTCTCTGCATCCCTAATGTGTGGCCATCTATCCTCTATCTGATCATTTCCACCTGAGGCAACATAGCGTTCTCATTATTCATCCACCCACTCTGTCCTCCATTCCTGACTCAAAGTAGAAAATCTGGGGGAGACTAGTGAAAGAATCCTTCGTCTTGAAAATGAATAAAGTGAGATGTCTGTCAAACCAGATACATAAATGGCATCATCCAACCATTGTGCAATTGACAGGGAAGCAAGACTGAGCTCTGGAGGGCTTTGCTGTATCTCAGTGGACAAAGTAGAGCTGACTTCTGTCTGCAAGATTTCAACCCTGTTGGGGATACTCTCTCCACCCTCAAACACAATTCTGAAGGTATAAATGATGTATCTTCCTTCTCACAACAGTCCTATGAGGAAGATGGGGCTGTCCTTTTTCTTCAAGTGGGGAAACAGGAATCATAAATCAGCCACCATATGCAGGAACACAAAACTAGTTCATTGGAAAGCCAGATCTTAAACACAGATTTCCTCACTCTAGTCCTATCTTCTTTGCTCTACACTAGATTGCTGCCTCTATCAATTAGAAATCTGGCAGCAACAGAAAATCCAAAACCCAAATCTGCTTGAACAACAACAACAACAAAAATTTGTAAATCAATAATTCAAGGAATAAGTCTGGTTTCAGGCCCCAGGTAAAAATCTGGGTAGCTCCAACTTCAAACCTTACATAGCAGCTCCCTAGCAACTACAAGTTCTCCTCTCACAGAGAAGACAGTTCCATGGTACAAATCCTCTTATTACCACCTTCTGTGGGGAAGAGAGCATTTATGCCCCTGCAATTCCATGACAGATGGTGAGCTTTACTCTAGTTGGATCAGCTTAAATCATGTTCCCATCACTACACCATCATGATAGAAAGAAGGACAGGACACTTTGATGGGCTAATCAGGACCCACCACTGGAGTTAGGGTGAGGTCAACCCCACTCAGTCTACATGAATGACTATGGTGGAGAAGTGCTCTCTCAGTGGAAATTCAAGGTGCTAATATCAGGAAGAAAAGCTAATAGAAACTCGGCAGGGACTCCATAATGACAGTCTTTGAATTCCTACCATGTGCCAATTGTACTGCCAGACTGGAAGTAAACTTTTAAAAAGAAAACACCAATGTCTGCCTAGGCAGAGTTCAGTCTGGCATACCTTGACCCAATGGTAGAAAATAGGTGTTGTCTTAGTCAGTTCAGGCTGACAGAATACACAGAGTGGCGTGAACAACAGACATTTATTTCTCACAGTTCTGGAGGTTGGGAATTCCAAGGTCAAGGTGCCACCAGCAGATCTAGTGTCTGGTGAGGGGACTATTCCTGGTTTGCAGACAGTCATCTTCTTGTTATATCTTCACAGGATTAAGAGAGAGAAAGCAAACTTCCTTATGTCTTTTCATAAGGGCACTCATATTAATGAGCACCCCCTCCTCATTACCTGATTACATCCCCAAGGTTCTATTTCCAAATACCATCCCATTAAGGGTTAGGATTTCAATATATGAATTTGAGAGGGGACACAAACATTCAGACCACAGCAGATGGCTTCACTGCTGATGGTACCTTCAGCCACTTCCCCAGTGTAGCCTCTAGTTCACCTCAATTGGTCCAGACAGAGTCTGAGCCAGGCTGGTGAGAGGAACAATGGACTGGTAAATTCAAGTTGTTTTCTACCTACAAGGCAACTAGATTTATGTCTTATATAGTAAAGGGGCAGTATGGTACAATGGTGAAGAGGGCAGGCTATGGAATCAGACTGCTTGAGTTTGAATCTTGAGTCAACCACTTCCTAACTGTGTGAGCTTGGGTGAGTTATTTAACCTATCTGTGCTCCAGATAGGTTAAATAGTAAAGTAGTAGCAACTACTTCATTCTGCCATTATAATGTGAAGGCAGGCGTAGGTGATACCTGAACAAACGAATGTGATTCTGTTCCAGTAAAACTTTTTCCTTTAGACACAGGGTCTTGTTCTGTTGCCCAGCCTGGAGTGCAGTGGAACAGTCACAGCTCACTGCAGCCTCGACCTCCTGGGCTCAAATGTTCTTCTTCCCACCTCGGCCTCCTGAATAGCTAGGACCACAGGTATGCACACCCAACTAATTTTTTTTTTTAATTTTTTGTAAAGATGGACTCTCACTATGTTACGCAGGTGGTCTCAAACTTCTGAACTCAAGTGATCCTCCTGCCTCGGCTTCCCAAAATACTGGGATTACAGTCATGAACCACCGTGCCCAGCCCCAATAAAACTTTATTTATACAAACAGGCAGCAGGATAGATTTTCCTGGCATCAAGTAACAGCTTCATATGATAGCTAATGTTAAAAAGCCATAGCAAATAGCATATAACTTTATTTATTATTCTCTTCCACACAAAATTCCTCTCTCCCAATAGATTCTACTTCTACCGCTTTTTGACTATGCTGATCATAGATTTATGATTTCAGATATGTACACATGAACTGTTTGTCTTAATTCCTTAACTTGGTGACATAAAAGATCAAGAAAACTCCCCACTCCTCTAATTTGATTATCTTTCACATGTTTAAATTGTCTTGTCCATATGACTTAAAGAGGAAACACTCAGCAAAAATCTTGGCATGTTGTATACAACCCAGTGCTGGGGTGATGCATAGCAAGTAAAGAATAATAACGGTGATTATTTGCTATAAATAAACTCTCAACCTCATTAGTGAATGTTCACTTGCAGACATTTACTCGCATCAAAATGATTTCCTTATGTTACAAGCCACCCCTCAAAGTTTCCTTCTCTACAACTACGCTCCAGCTCCAGAAATCACAACTCAAATTTTATGGTGCTCAGTCATGCTGAGATGTCTCAAGAGACACAAAAACAACACTGGAGTTACAAGTTAATTCTTCCTGCTGGGTTAATAATTAGGTAAAACCAGTTTGAGGCAAAGGGAAATCAGTGTGTGTGGAGTTCAGAATGAATTAGTGGGGAAAGAGGCAAAATAAGGAATTACAGAGTAGGAATATAACTGCCTCTCCTCTTCTGAAGTGGTGCACTGGGCGGGAAAGGGGAGAGGACAAGGAGAGCCATTCTGGAGCCTGAAGTTATAATCAGCAAAGAATCCCTAAACTCAGAATCAGATCCTTGTCTGTGAGGAGGCTTTTTAGTTAATCAACATGAATAACACTTCTGTTTATTGGTGAGACAAAGACTTAAAACTTGATAAATTATAAAATGTCTCTCCTCTTAGCACTTCTGCTGGCAGCCTGGCTCATGTTAACTTTTATTTTATACCAAAGCATCCTCCCATTAACTCAGCATTTTCCCTCAAATTTGTATAGCAAAGAGAAACTCCACATCTCATCTATTCATTTTGTTAGGATGTCTGCAACACCCAGTCAATATGCACCAATCAATATGCACACTACCCATAATGCCAACTGACAACCCTGGGAAACACATGAATAAGGAAAAGAGAAGCTGACAATTTCCCTGCTCATTGGCACAAAAATGCACTGCCATATTTTATGTCTTTCAATAGAGAGGTACGTGGGTGAGGCCATAAATGGCCCATGACTTTGTTACTAGGAAAGAAACCAGTGGAGGTGGGAATATTCCATGTATTTGGACAAAACTGTATCAATGTTACTAGAAATAAAGACGCTCTCATCCATTGTACTCCCCTGTAGAGACCTGGACATATACCCAAAAGCATTTAGTGTAGTTAAGTCTCAAATATACCGAAGCCAAGATTAAGTTTTAAACGACTAAAATGACACAGCTTTGTTGATCATGCTACTGGTGCCACCTACAGCCTATTAACTTGTGAGGTCAGCACTCAAGTGTTCACACAACTCTGAGCTTTTTACTCTGCTTTCTACAAGGAGAGCTCCTGATCTCATCCAAATAATACAAGCCTTTTCCATCCATCCCTTTCCCTAGGACTTGAAAATCTTAGCATAGGCTGGGCACAGTGGCTCACATCTGTAATCCCAGCTTTTTGGGAGGCTGAGGCGAGTGGATCACCTAAGGTCAGGAGTTCAAGACTAGCCTGGCCAATATGGTGAAACCCCATATCTACTAAAAATACAAAAATTTTCTGGGCATGGTGGTGCACACCTGTAATCCCAGCTGCTTGGGAGGTTGAGGCAGGAGAACCACTTGAACCTGGGAGGTGGAGGTTGCAGTGAGCCGAGATTGCACCATTGCACTCCAACCTGGGCAACAAGAGCAAAACTCCATCTCAAAAAAAAAAAAAAAAAAAAAGAAAGAAAAGAAGAAAAAGAAAAAAAAAACAAAATCTTAGTGCAAGGAATTAAGGAATCACAAAAGTCCCAATTGCAGAGAGAAAATTAAATGGGCTTGAAGTCAGATGAGCTGTTTGAACTTCAAAATTGCCCTTACTAACTGTGTGCTATAGTTTGGATAATGTTTGTCCCTCAAACCTCATGATGAAATCTGATCCCCAGTACTGGAATGGGGCCTAATGGGAGGTGTTTGGGTCACATACCTCATGAATGGCTTGGTGCTGTTTTCATGGTAATGAGTGAGTCCTCACTCTATTAGTTCCCACAGAAGCTGGTTGTTAAAAAGAGCCTGTTACCTCCCCTTCTCTTGCTTCCTCTTTCACCAGGTGATCTCTGCACACACTGACTCCCCTTTGCCTTAGGCCACGAGAGGAAGCAGCCTGAAACCCTCACCAGAAGCCAATGCCAGTACTATGCTTCTTGCACCATCTGCAGAACCATAAACCAAATAAACCTCTTTTCTTTATGAATTACCCAGCCATGGATATTCCTTAATAGCAACAACAACAACAAAAAATGGACTCACACTGTGGGACCTTGGGCAAATTACCAAAGTAACTTGGGTAAAGTTACTCTATTTTCACTTATAAAATAGGAATAATGATATCTGCTTTCCAGGGTTGCTGTAAGGATTAGAGAAATACATGTTAAGTGTCTAACATATAATAAGGCTCAATAAGTAAGTTATATTTTTCTGGAAAGACAAGTCATATGAGCTTGACATATAATTTCTCCAGCCTTGCTCTCTGCTCTTCCCTATGTTTTGATCATCTCAGGACCATAGGAAAGGCCAGGATCCAGAGTGCTTAAGAAGAATAGGAGAAGGACAAGTAAAAGAAGAGGAAGAGAAGCAGCAGCACTTTACTAAGTAACACTTACTAAGTACCAGGGATTGTTCTAAGGTGTTCATAAATATTGACTCACTTAGTCTTCATAGCAACCCCATAAGGTTGGTACCATAATTATCCCCACTTTACAGATTAGAAAAGTGAGGCACAGAGAGGGGGATATATGACTTGCCCAAGATTGCACTGCTAGTAAGTGCCAGAGCAAGGATGCAAACCCAGGCAGAATGGCTCCAGAGTGTGCGCTAATGACTACTGATGTGGGACCCAAAGAAACAAATATGGAATCTACTCAATTAAAGACATCAAGAGCTTTAGGGGATGAGTATTTTTTTGTTTGCCAGGGGTACTAGGTCATAATTTTTAATATAAAAGAGGTAACTAATGAGCTTAAGGACACTCTCTTGACATAAATAATATAGAAAAGGCTATGTTTGTACACATACTAGTGAAAAAAGGTGACAAAGTAAGTTATGTCCATCACAATCTATGTCTCTTCAGATCATCTGACTCTAAATCACTGGAGAAACTGAGTATGCATAGCAGCACATTGGTTCCTGCCCTTCCTCCCACATCCTCTTTACTCTTTAGCAGTCGTTGGCCATATCACTGAGTGTTAATGTTGCTTGAGTGGTACCTTTGGAAATTGAAAGATATGAATGGAAGGGAAAGGTCAAGGTATCTCCATTGCCTAGTCTTGAGGATGGAAATATAGGCAGACACCCTGGTCAAAAACGAAGAGGGAGACTTGGTTCAGATGTCAGGAAAATAGCTTAGGGGGACTGAGTGCCAAATGGAGAAGGAAACTCAAAGATACCTTAATCAGAAAACCATGGCTACACACTCCAATAGCAGGGAAAAAAACATCAGGTTACATGGGCAACGTTATGATTCTCTTTCATTTTCTTTACACAAATGCGAGTGTTCCAAAGGCACTCTCACAAGGGTTTCCTTCACTTCATACTCTGGCAAAATGAGGTCTATTAGAGCCATGTTAACTATTCAAAAGACCAAAAGATACCTACTTTTGAAACCATTTTCACATACAATGGAGTAATGCAATGTATAGATTCAAGGAGTTCTCTAGGTTCCCTTACGGTGACAATTTTGTTGTTGCCGCTGTTGCTATTGTTACAAGTGCTGAAAGTTAAAAGCAAGCATATTTCTACATGTTCAGCAACCTCCCAATCTGGAGAGCCCATGGAATTTAGACACACTTTAAGGTTTACAGTTACAACCAAAATGTTAGCTTCTATACTAAGTGTACAGTACAAATAATATGGATCCAAAAAGTACAAAGAGATAGAGAATAGGAAACTCCAGAGGTAGAACAGAAGCAATACACTACTGTTGGGGACAGCCAGGGAGGAGAACCTCACAGGAGCTATTAAAGTCCAACTCTTCCTCCTTGAGAATAAGAATGGAAAAATGGAAATGGGCTGGCTACAGAGTAGGGAAACGCCAGGATCCAAGCCTCTCTGCTGTAGCAAAGTGGGAATTACTCATGGAAAGGACAGAGGGAAGTGAGGGGATTCTGTTGATTGTAAGAAGCACCAGAATCAACCCAGCTATTCTCTTCTTAAACTTTCATGCAGCTATGCCCTCTGGTGTCTTCCAAAAAGTCCAAAATGAATTATTAGAATAACAGTGAGTCAAAGCATGATGCTCAGGATTCTTTCATATCACTAGGATTTTCATAAATTCTAAGATTTTTATCTTAGAATTACAAAGCTACCTCAGATTAAAGATTTAGGGAATGGTGCTGAAAGAAAGCAACAGCTTTAATGTGACAATGAGCTTTGAAAGCTACAGTAAGTAAACCAGCTACCTAGTAGTTTAGATTCTAAGAAACTCAAAGCCGATTGCTAAGGATAGCATAAGAAAGGAGGCTCATTTATGTGAATTAATTGGTAACACCCCCCACCTCTCTCTCTTGCATACACACACACACACACACACACACACACACACACACACACACACACACATTACTTGCTTTCTGGAAAAAGCCACGTTATAAGCGGCCCTATAGAGAGGCCCATGTGGCAAGGACACATGGCTGCTTGCCAACAGCCTCCTGACAACAGTGGGTAAGCTTAGAAATAGATTTTCTAGCCTTGGTCAAGTCTTTAGCACTGCAACCTTGTCTGACAACTTGATTGCAACTTCATGAAAGGCTCTGAGACAGAATCATCCATCTAGATAGCTCCAAAATTCCTGACCCTCAAAATCCATGTAAGATAATAAATGTTTTTCATCTTAAGTGACTACATTTTCAAGTAATTTATTATACAACAATAGACAACTAACATTAATTCTTACTTAAGTCATATAGCTTAAATAGAGTGGTATATCCATTTCCCAAACCTATGCCTTTGCCACTGCAACATTCTGCCAAGCCTGTAGTAATCCTGGATTCCATAATTAATGGCTTCTGTTATGGTTCTGCAAGAAACAAAAACCCAGTCAAGCTAACTCAAGTAAACTCAAGCTAACTCAAGGCTGGGTGTCTAATAATGTATCTTTCCATAAATAATATCTATAAATGCTAGGAGAAAAAATATAAACACTTGATGGTTCCAAGAACTGAAAAAAAGCAGGCATATTTTGAAAGGCAGTCAAACTTATAGTAAGAAGTCAGCACAGAGTGATTTATAGTTTTTGCAGGTATGCCCTAAAGACAACCAGAATCATGACCAAAGTAGCATTGCTGAAATTCCAAGAAAAAGTCTCCTACTTTTCTGGCTGGAGGAACTAGGAAAATTCCAGGCAAAGTAGACAATCAGAAGCTGTGGGAGAAGAAAACCGTGAAAGAATACCACCAAATTCTGTTTACACTCAGCTCAAATTTCTGGATGTCCCCTGAATTATGTATGAATGGGTCAAATAGAAAGCAGCTAGCAGTTAAGGATTATAGAATTAAACTAAGTTCTGAACTTCCACTCAGCAAAGGCATTACAGGCTTCAGTTTAAACCAAAGGAAATAAGATGCCTGTTAAAATGAAACATCAACACTCTCTAGAGCAATAAAACAAAATTCAGAGTCTCTACAATGTTGCCTCTACAGCATCCAGGATAAAATACAAAATTACTCAACATACAAAGTTCCGGAAAAATGTGACCCAGTCTCAAGAGAAAATGCAAACAATAGAAGCCCATGTCAAGATGACCTGTATGTTGGAATTATCAGGAAAGAATTTCAAAATAGCTATTGTGAGTATAGTCAGTGATGTCAAGGAAATATAATGAATATAAAGATTAAAAACCTCAGCAAGAAAAAATAACATATAAAAAAGAAATGAATGGAAATTTTAGTACTAAATACTAAAACATCTCAAATGAAAAATTCAGTGGATGGTCCTAATAGCAAAATGGAGATTAAAGGAAACAGTCAGTGAATTTGAAGATAGGTCAATAAACATCATCTAATTTGAATAAGAGAGGTAGGGGAAATTAAAAAAAAAATAAGCAGAACCTCAGGGACCCATGAAATAATTTCAATACATCTTACCAAGAAAGACAATGGGGCAGGTAAATATTTTAAAGATAAATACCAGAAAACGTCTCCAATTTTTTTAAGATGGAAATGTACAGATCTAGGAAGCTCAAAAAGCCTCAAAGGGAATTAATGCAAAGAAATCCATATCTAAGTACATTATAGCCAAACTGATGTTCAGGGAAGAGAAAGACAAAAATTTGAAAGCAGCCAGAAAAGAACATCACGTTCCATATAGGAGAACAGTGATAGAAATTATCACAAACTTTTCTCACAAACCTTTCCCAGAAACTATAGAGGCTAGAAGACAGTGGAACATCTTTAACATGTTACAAGAAAATAACTGTCATCCTAGAATTCTAAATTCAGTGAAGCTTGCTTCAAAAAGGAAAGTGAGATAAAGACATTTTTAGGTAATGAAAAACTAAGGAAATTGGTCTCCACCAGAACTGTACAAAAAGGTCTTCAAGTTGAAGGAAATGATATCAAGGGAAAACTTAGATTTTCAGGAATGAATGAAGAGTAGGAAATATAAATGGTAAATATATGGGTAAATGAAAACACTTTCTTCTTTTAATTTCTTTAGAATTCAAAGGATATTTCACAGCAAAAAGTATGACATTTTCTTGTAGGATTTACATGTACTTAGATGTAATATATGTGACAACTATAACTTAAAGAGTGGTAAGATAGAAAGTAAATAGACCTATCTATGTATTACAATAATTCTACTTTTTATCATATTAGGACTGCATAAACTGTGAAAAGAATGTATAGAACAAACATGTTTTTGAAATGTACAGAAATATAATTTGAAATGAATAAGTGTCCTAAAATGGAAATTAAGATATTGAAATAACCCAAAAGAAGGTAAGATGAGGGTGGGACAAATGAGAGGGATTCAAAATATATAAAAAATAAAATGGCTACCTAAATTCAACCATATCAGTAATTATATTAAATGTTAATTGAACTGAACACTGCAATTAAAGGGCACAGGTTATCAGAATGGATTTTTTAAAATGAAGACCCAACCAAATTCTATCTACAAGAGACATATCTTAAATATAAATTTAAAAGTTGAAAGTAAATGGACAGAAAAAGACACACCATATGAAGAGTCACCATAATAAGGCTACAGTGGTTGTGATAATAGCAGATAAAATAGATCTCAAGAGTATTAGAAAAAAAATGAAGAATATTTTATAATAATAAAAGGATTAATTCATCAGAAAGGCATAGCAATTATAAATGTGTGTGTCCCTAATAACAGAATTTTAAAATAAGCAAATCAAAAATTGATAAGATTAAAGCGAGAAATAGATGATTCTACAATCAGAGCAGGAGAATTTAATACCCCTCTTTCAGCAAATTACTTAAAAACTAGAAAAAAAAACAAGTAGATACATAGAATAACTGAACATGTCATTCGTTTTTGCCTAATTTGTATTTATAGAACTTTACACCCAATAACTACACAATACATATTATTTTCAAATATACTTGATACATTCACCAATATAGAACATATGTTATGTCATAATGCAAGTTTCGATAAATTTCAAAGGATTGAAGTTATACAAAGTATGGTCTTTGACCACAAAAGACTAAATTATAAATCAATAACAATAATATAGCTAGAATATTACAAATGTTTGGAAATTGGACAACAGATATCTCAATAATCCATGGGTCAAATAAAAATCAAAGAATTAGAAAATATTTGAAACCAAATGATAATAAAAATACAACATAGAAATAAATTTGTGGGATGCAGTAAAGGCAGTAGAGGGAAATTTATGACTTTAAATGTTCATGTCAGGAAAAAGAAAAAAGAATAACTTGTAATTAATGACCTTGAGAAGCTAGTGAAAAAAAAGAACAAAGTAAATCCAAAGCAGACAGAAGAAAGTAAATAAAAAGCAAAAATCAATGAAATAGGAAATAAACAATAAATAAAATAAAGCCAAAAGATGATTCTTTAATTTAAAAAAATTCCTACATCTCTAGCTGAACTGAGTTGAAAGTGGTGGAAAGGGGAAGACGCAAATTACCAATATCAGGAATAAGAAGGAATATCAGGAATAAAAAACTATAAATAGTACACATATTAAAAAGATAAGAAAAATTGACAAGTTAAATGTAATAAACATACATTTTGAAAACTAGTAAAGCACAATCAAGAAGAAATAGATAACCTGATATCTACTAAAGAGATGAAATTACTTGTTTCAAAAAAAAACCTTTCTATAAAAATTTTATTTAAAAGCCTTCAGGGCAAGATATCCCTGCTGGTGAATTCTACCAAATATATGAGGAATAGAAAAATAACAATTCTACACAAACTCCTCCAGAAAACAGGAAAAAAGAGTAGCATCATTATCCTGATACTAAAATTACATAAGATATTACAATTTTAAAAACTATAGATTCATATCCTTCATAAACACAGGTACAAAAACTTTTAGCAAGTTAAACCTAGCAATGTATCAAAGGAATAGTTAATATATCATGACTAAGTGGTATTTATTCCAGTAATGCAAGGTTGGTTTAACATTTAAAAAAAAAATGCAATTCACCATATTAACAAAATAAAGAAGAAAAAAAACCCAAGGGGGGCTGGCCAAGATGGTCCACAGAAGCAGCTAGTGTGCACTGCTGTCATGGAGGGAAATAGAAGGGGCAAGTAAACATAGCACCTTCAACTGAAATACTCAGTTACACACATTGAGATTAATTAAAAAAAAAAAACCACCTTGACTGACAGAAAACAGAACAGAAAAAAGCAAGGCAGGACTGCTTACGCAGGAGCAACAAAGAACAAGGAGCCAGGGGAGTCTCCCCTGCCCAGGGAAGTGGTGAGTAAGTGAGTGACCCTGGGGACCCACACTACTCCCATAAATCTTTGCAAACCTCAGGTCAGGAGACTCCCTTGTGAACCCACTCCACCAGGGCCCACAGTCTGACATGCAGAGCTACATGGAGTCTCAGCAGAGCAGACCCTCAGGCATAAGTAGAGCCCTGTGAGCTTTAGATGCCCAGGCTTTCCAGCAAAGCAAGAGGTTAGGCCCCTGTACAGACCCCTAGGAAAAAGGCTGAATCCAGGGGGTTGAGCAGCAACAGTCTGCAGGCCCTGTTTCCATAACACCTCACAAGATAAGATCCACTGGCTTGGAACTCCAGCCAGCCATGGGTAGCAGTGTTACACATCCCTGAGATAGAGCTCCCAGAGGGAGAGGTGGGCCACCATCTTTGCTGTTTCACAGCCTTAGCCATTGATGCCTTCAGGCTCTGGGGAATCCGAGGCAACCAAGGGACTGGATTGATTGCCCTGCACAGTGTAGCAGCTCTGTGAAGAGTCAGCGAGACTGCTTTTTCACATGGGTCCCAGATCCCATTTCTCTTCACTGGATGGAATCTCCCAACTGAGGTCTACAACCACCCTCACCAGTGTTTTCCAGATGGCAGCAATTCCAAACCTGTCTGGGACAGAGCCCTCAGAGGGAGGGGTAAGCCACCATCTTTGTTGACTTGCAGTCTCAGCCATTGTCACCTTCAGGCTTTAGAGAGTCTGAGGTGACTAGAGGCTGGAGCAGACCCCCAACACAGCACAGTTGCTCTATCAAAATGTGCTTTTATACAGTTTCCTGACCCCATTTTTCCTCACTGGGCAGGACCTCCCAGCCCAGGCCCCCAGCACCCTACCCCACCAGCATGTCTGAGCCAGCAATAGATCCATACCTGGAGCTCCCAAAAGAAGGGGCAGATCACCATCTTTGCTGTTTTGTAGTCTTTACTGTTGATATCTTCAGGTACTGCAGCAGCCCTGTGGAAAAGTTTCCAGACTGTTTGTTACATGGGTTTCCAATCCTGTATCTCCTCACTGGGCAGGTTCTCCTGGTGTGGGTCTCCAGCCACCCAAACTGGAACAATCAATCCAGTAGCAACTCTGCAACCCCTTGGAAGAGAGCTCCCAGTAGGAGGCATAGGTTGCCATCTTGGCTGTATCACAGCCCTGGTCCTTGCTTTTTCCATATCTGGAGAGTCTGTGGGACCAGGGACTGGTCCAGATGCCCAGCACAGAGCACCTACCTCATGCAAAAGTGAGGTCTTGGTTCTCACTTCTCCTCACAGAGTAAGGCTGCCCAACCTGGGACTCCAGCACCCTGCCTCTGTCCTGACCACTTCAATCAGAGGCAGCCCAGCAGTTAAAGGGACAGCCACACACAGAGATGAGAAAGAACCAATGCAAGAACTCTAGCAACTCAAATGGCCAGAGTGTCTTATGTCCTCCATATGGCCACACTAGTTCTCCAACAAGGGCTCTTAACCAGGTTGAATTCACTTGCATTACAGAAGTAAAATTTAGAATATGGATAGGAATGAAGATCACTGAGATTCAGGAGAATAGCAAAACCCAATCCAAGGTAACTAAGAATCACAACAAAACAATACAGGAACTGAAAGATGAAACACACAGTATTTTTTAAAAAAACTAACTGATCTGACAGAGCTGGAGGACACACTATGTTAATTTCACAATGCTATTGCAAGTATTAAGAGCAGAATAGACCAAGCTGGGGAAAGAATCTCAGAACTTGAAGACTGCCTCTCTGCATTAAGACAGTCAGAAAAAAATAAAGAAAAAATAAACATGAATGAACAACACCTCTAAGAAATATGAAATTATGTAAAAAGGCCAAATATATGAATCATTGGCATCACTTAAACGAACAGAGAGAAAGCAAACAATTTGGAAAACATATTTCAGGATATAGTGCATGAAAACTTCCCTAACCTTGCTAGAGAGGTCAACAGTCAAATTCAGGAGATACAGAGAACCCCTGCCAGATCCTACACAAGAGGATCAGCCCCAAAAAACATAATCAACAGATTTTCTAAGGTTGAAATGAAAGAAAGAATGTTAAAGACAGCTAGAGAGAAAGGGTAGGTCACCTGCAAAGGGAACCCCATCAGGCTAACAACAGACCACTCAGCAGAAACTCTACAAGCCAGAGGATATTGAGGTTCTATACACAACATTTTTAAAAAACAAAATCTTCAACCAAGAATTTTACATCCAGCCCAACTAAGCTTCCTCAGTGAAAGAGAAATAAGATTCTTTTCAGATAATCAAATGTGGAGGGAGTTTGTTACCACCAGACCCACCTTACAAGAGATCTTGAAAGGTGCACTAAATATGAAAAGGAAAGACCATTACTAGCCAATACAGAAACACACTTATGCACATAGACCAATGACACTGTAAAACAACCATGCAAACAAGCAGGCATAATAACCAGCTAACAACACGATGACAGGATAAAATTGACACATATTAATACTAACCTTGAATGTAAGTAGGCTAAATGGCCCCATTTAAAAGGCACGGAGTGGCAAGCTAGATAAAAAAGCAAGACCCAATGGTATACTGTCTTCAAGAGACCCATCTCACGTGCAATGACACCCACAGGCTCAAAATAAAGAGATAAAGGAAAAATCTACCAAACAAATGAAAATTAGAAAAAAGAAGCAGGGTTGCAATCCTAATTTCTGACAAAACAGACTTTAAACCAACAACGATCAAAAAAGAGAAATAAGGGCATTACATAATGGTAAAGGGTTCAACTCAACAAGATCTGACTATCTTAAATATATATGCACCCAACACAAGAACACCCAGATTCATTAAGCAAGTTCTTAGAGATGTACAAAGACACTTAGAATCCCACACAATAATAGTGGGAAACTTCAACACTCCACTAACAGTATTAGACAGATCATTGAGGCAGAAAATTCACAATGACATTCAGGACTTAAACTCAACATTGAACCAAATGGATGTGATAGACCTCTACAGAACTCTCCAGCCAGAAACAACAGAAAATACATTCTTCTCATTGCCACATGTCACATACTCTAAAATCAACCACGTAATCAAAATTGAGGGAAAAAAGTCACTCAAAACCATGGAATTACATGGAAATTAAACAACCTGCTCTTAAATGACTTTTGGGTAAATAATGAAATTAAGGCAGAAATCAAGAAGTTCACTGAAACTAAAGAGAACAAAGATACAACATACCAGAATCTCTGGGAAACAGCTAAGGCAGTG